>NC_000002.12:20540058-20691573 GCF_000001405.40 Homo sapiens
GTCCAGGCAGGCCGGGACACTCCGGCTCCTCACTGAGCCCTGGCCTGGGTGCAGACCGTCATGTGCCTGTGGGTACAGCCTCTACGCTGAGCCTCACTTCCCCAGGCCAGAGAAGAGGGTGAGCCCAGAACATTCTGTGACTACAGGCTGTGCCGGCTGTGACCGTGCAAAGCGACCAGTGTGTTTCCAGTCACACACTGAGTAATCTAGAAAGCAGTAGCCACCCCACCAGCTTTCTTCTTAGAAATCTCCCAGCAAGCTGTCGGCTGCCTCTCCCTTAGAAACGGGGCTCTAGCAAGACACGAAGTGTGTCCACTGGAGGCAACCCTGAGGTCCCTGGGCCACGAGCAGTTTGCGGGCGGCCTGAGGAGGCAGGCAGAGCTTCCCCCAGGCTGGAGGGGCCGTCTGCGGGCACTGGGGCTGGCAGGGAGCATTTCAGTGGCCCACAGCCCTCGTCCCTGCCACGGGCTTCTGCTCCTGCCCCAGAGCCCCTTTCTTGAGAAGCACTCCTGTGCCCCGTGCTCTCTTCGTGTTTTACGTAATTTCATCCAGTGTACACCCTGCTGCGGTCTCCCTGCAGGCTAAAGGGATCACTTTGAAGACTCTAACCCTTTATTCCTTGTCTTGGGTGTCGAGGAAGGTGTCAGCCAGACCACAACCGTGCTCGCCTATTCACTCAGCAAGTGCCTGAGGGGAAGGGGGTGTCGCCAGGGAATGAAAGACTCAGCATTGGTGCCCTGGGGAGCTCCAGGGGGCAAAGTCAGGTGTACAAATAACTCCACAGCAACAAGGGTGACAAGGGCCTGGCCAGGATGCAAGCACAGGCATACGTGACAGGGAGGGAGAAGTTTGGCAGGCTTCCTGGAGGAAGGGGCATTTGGCTGACACTCGAAGGACCGACAAGATTGCCACACCTGGCATTTCTGTCTTGAATATTGAAAGAGGAGCAGGCTGAGTCAAGTCCCTGGCAGATGGAGCAGCTGCAGAGGGGGAGCGGGGAGCCCCAGACTGTGTTGAGCAGGACCTGGTTCATTGGGAGATAATGAGGATTGTGGGATATCATGAAACACTGTGTGAAAATGCCTGGCCTGCCGTGGAACCCACAGGCAGTGCTGAAGTAATGCTTACTTAAGCCTGAAACTAGTGATCACCTTGCGGGCAGATGCTGGTAGCCCAACCGCACTGGTCTGAGGGGATGGTGAGACATCAAACACCCGCCGCACAGCATGATCTCTGAAACGCTCTCCTAGGAAGGGATGACCATTGCGCCTCTTCCCCATGGTGACTAGAACTGTTAGTGTCTGTCGGGGGATGCAGCCATTGGCCCAGACCCCAGAGAGCAGCACGTGCAAACCTTCCCGGGTGTGGAAAGGTGGAGGCCATGCCCAGGCTCATGGAGCTCACCAGAGCAGGCTCAACCCTCCTAATCCCCGCTCCAGTCCCCTTCCTGGCAGATTCCTTTCTGTGTCCTGACTGAAGGCAAACTGGAGCCTATATGTACCTCAAGAGGAACAATTCGTGTTCATTCAATGATGTCTGTTTAGACTTTTCTCCTCAGAGCCACTTGTCAATCAGGCCTTCTGCCCCATCCAAAGGGGACACTGAAGAGTCCTAGGGTTCCAGCTCCTATATGTGCAGCATCGAAGGACACAGATGCTCTTCACTGTCCCTGACAACAGAGCCAAAGCTTTTACTTCAACCCACAAGTAGCTTCTGAAGCAGAGGCACAAACAGATGGGTTCTTGCAGTAATTCCTTTCTGATCTCTGCACAGCCGCTAGCCCGGGCAGGCCTTCGTCCTGACAGGCCCAGGTATAGGACTGCCCAGCAGGTGGACAACGAGCTGGGAGTGGTGGGAAGAACTGAGGGAGGGAATTCTGGCAGGATAAAGCCACCTTTCCTCAGGCTGATAGCACACTGAGGCCTGGGGTCTCCACTGCCTGTGGTTAGGGGTTTGGGCACAGTGCAGGGAATTTCACAACAGCCATTTTGTGGGAGCTGATGGGGGGCTGCTGAGAACCTCTACTCCAGCTCCTGGTGTGAGTGAGGAATCTGAGTCCCAGGGAGAGGCCGTGCGTGTGGAGTTCCCCAGGGCGTTAGTGATGGCACTGTCCCTAGGCCATGGCTCCTCCGCACAGCATACATCAAGCTGTCTCTGAATTTGAGGTGGGGGGGATTGAAAGTCGGTGATTTGCAAACACGTATTTATGAGTGCCCTGGTCAGAGCCCGATCACTGAGCCCCTTCTGCGTGGCCAACCCAGCTTTTCTTGTCTCCGAGTTTGCCTGCGAAGCCCACCCACCATGTCTCCAGGCCTCAGTCCCGGTTCTCCTCACCCCTGACTAGGTCTAACACTCGCCACACGTGGGGCATCTCCCCGTGCAGATATGATGCTGGCCCTGGGCACGTGGGCATGAGCCAGACACAGTCCACCCTCAAGGGCTCTGATCTGGTCGGAGGGTCAGGTGGGAGGGTCAGCCTCCCTATGGCATCTGTACCTCTGGGTCTATCAGGGACACGTCAGGGACACAGATGTGTCCAAACCTGGACAGGGGAGGCGGGCAGGGAGGACCCTTCTCTGAGGGTGCCGCTGGTGCCTGCCTCTGACTCCTTGGCCTGTGCTCGTTCTGCAGGAGGCATTCTTCCGTCCACTGGGGCAGGGAGATGGATGGGGGAATTGTTCTTTGACTCAGAGACCACCCAACACTCTGAAGCCAGGTCTACAAAATTACCATCAGCCTTGCTGCAGCCTGCCTCAGGTTGGATGCCCAAGAAGATATAGGGGATCTGGGGGCACAGATGGGAGGTGGAAGTGGAGAGACCACACCCTGCTCCTCGTGGCTCCTGGCCAAGTTGGTGATATGTGACCTCATCTCACAACACTAGAGATGAGGAGATCCCACCCATCCAGGCTATAGGCTGGTGGGAAGTCCACATAGGGAAGATCTTTCAAAAGGAGGAGGAGTTTGGACCCAGGCTTCCCAGACTCTGGGGGCATAGATGAAGCGGGGAAGCTACTGCAGAGGAAGGAAGGCATGGGCAGGTGGGCAGAGGTAGGCTCTCGCTGGGATATATGAGCCAGGAGAATCCCATTGTACTACGCGGCCCGAGCAGCTCCTGGGCTGTCTTGCCACGAAGGCGGCGTCATTACCTCCAATTCACAGATGATGGAAGCAAGCACAGAGAGGATAGATGATCCACCCTGGGGCTCAGAGCCAGCAGCCAGAAGAAATCAGCATCTCAGCCGAGAAAGGAGAGAGCTCCCTGGAGAAGACACTAAAGGCGGCTGCGATGCCCTCTGGGCCTGACTGTGAGAAGCCTCTGAAGTCAGACCAGGGGATTCTCATAGTCGACTGCATACCCCACCCCTCTCCTGTAACTGAAATGGCCAGCTCCTCCAGGGACACTCCCTTTTGCTACTAGATTTGTCTTTGCTTCTGGAGGGACTTGAGGGAGCAGCTGGTACAGGGGCATGAGCACAGCCCTGGGCTTTCACTCTGGGCTCCAGCACTCCTTAGCTGGGTGGTCCTGACAAGATCATTTCAGCTCTCTGATCTTCAGTTTCTTCACTGTAGCAAGATCTAATAATACATTGCAGTTGCTGCAAGGATTAGAGGTACTTACTATATGCAAAGTACTGGACATATGAGCATGCACAGTGGTGAGGAGCTATTAATGTTATGTCAGCTGCTGGCTGCAGCCGCCTCCTCCCCAGCAGTCCTGGCTCCAACCACCCAATCGCCTCTGAGGGGATTGCTCCAAACTTTGCTAACGCTGCAGAATAAAGGCGAATTTCCCAGGGATTTGTGGCAGGCCTCTATGGTCTGGAAGGTGCCCTGGACATAAGGCAATCAAGTGGCTTCCCTGGTCCAGCATCTTACACATTTTACCCAGCCTCCGAAAGAAGCTGGTGGAGACAGCTGGTCCCGCAGCGTTCCCTCTCACAGGAGCTATTAGCTGTGTCATGCACCCATTTGTAATGAAATGGAAGCATTTTGATTTATCGGGGAAGCCGGATTTTCTCCCAAATCCTTGCTGCTTTCATCCTTGGCCATGAAATAGTCCATTCTAATCTCATATGAAGGGGCAACAGTTACAAGGAGCCCATGAAATCTGATCATCGACTGGGCTCCCAGCGGCAGCTTTGATCGCTGGGAGGGAGCAAGTCATCCTCAGCTTGGCGCTAATAGCCCCATGCATTATTGAAGAGCCAGTTTTCAGTGGCAGACACATACAGAGAGACATCCAGAGTGCAAGCTGGAGTGTCAGCTGCTTCCCTCACTCCTCAGTGATGGAGTCTTGTAATCCTGCAGAGCCACCAAAAACAGGCCCCTGACAGGGCTGTCTGTGCAGCTCAACACACCCTCATTGGAGGGCAGCTGACGTGGAACAAGCAAATAAGGTGAAGCCACTGCTTTCCAGTTCCCTCAGTTGGTGTTCCTCTGATCCAAATGTCTGAGGCATGAACGGCTGCCCGGGGAGCATCCTCAAGAAATGCACACTCAGTGACAAGGGTGCATGCGGAGGCCAGAGCTGACTGCAGCCAGGGCTGTGGCCTGATGGTGTTCCCTTAACCTTCTGAGTAGGGCTCTGATACTCAGTCTTTGGGGCCATGAGAGGCAAGGCAAAAAATGGGACTTAGTTATTGCTGAGACTTTGCTGGAAATGGTAAAAGGGGTGGGGAGGCTCACTGTTATCGGGGAACCTGCCCCTGATAGTCACGTAGGTTCTTTTCTATTTTCCCTAAGCATTGGCTGGGTTGAGAAATAAAGGGACAGAGTACAAAAGAGAGAAATTTTAAAGCTGGGTGTCCGGGGGAGACATCACATGTCGGTAGGTTCCGTGATGCCCCCTGAGCCATAAAACCAGCAAGTTTTTATTAGGGATTTTCAAAAGGGGAGGGAGTGTATGAATAGGGTGTGGGTCACAGGGATCACATGCTTCACAAGGTAATAAGATATCACAAGGTAAATGGAGGCAGGGCGAGATCACAGGACCACAGGACCGGGGTAAAATTAAAATTGCTAATGAAGTTTCTGCATGCATTGTCATTGATAACATCTTATCAGGAGACAGGGTTTGAGAGCAACCGGTCTGACCAAAATTTATTAGGCAGGAATTTCCTCATCCTAATAAGCCTGGGAGTGCTATGGGAGACTGGGGCTTATTTCATCCCTAGAGTTTCGACCATAGAAGACAGCCACACCCAAGGGGGCCATTTTAGAGGCCTATCCTCAGGGGCACATTCTCTTTCTCAGGTATGTTCCTTGCTGAGAAAAAGAATTCAGCGATATTTCTCCCATTTGCTTTTGAAAGAAGAGAAATATGGCTCTGTTCTGCCCAGCTCACCGGCGGTCAGAGTTTAAGGTTATCTCCCTTGTTCCCTGAACATTGCTGTTATCCTGTTCTTTTTTCAAGGTGCCCAGATTTCATATTGTTCAAACACACACGCTCTACAATTTGGGCAGTTAACACAATCATCACAGGGTCCTGAGGCGACATACATCCTCCTCAGCTTACGAGATGACAGGATTAAGAGATTAAAGTAAAGACAGCCATAGGAAATCACAAGGGTATTGATTGGGGAAGTGATAAGTGTCCATGAAATCTTCGCAATTTATGTTTAGACATTGCAGTAAAGACAGGCATAAGAAATTATAAAAGTATTAATTTGGGGAACTAATAAATGTCCATGAAATCTTCACAATCCATGTTCTTCTGCCATGGCTTCAGCCAGTCCCTCCGTTCGGGGTCCCTGACTTCCTGCAACACACTGTGCCCATCCTCACTGTTTGAATTGAATAATCTAATCAAACCCTTTTCATTTATCAAAATTGTTATTTGAATGTCTACAGTGTGCTGGGCCCTGAGTGAAGCACTGAAGATACAGCAGTGAACAAGGACAGATGGGATTTTCAGCCTTCAAGATGGCCATGGATGATCCCTTTCTCATTGTATTCATGCACTTATATAGCCCCTTTCCACATCGAATTAGGTTGACCTTTGTAATCAAGAGAACATTCTGGAATGATGAAGTAGTATGCCTGAAGTGAGGTCATTAGAAACATTGTGAGTTCTTGTTTTCTGGGGGAAGCCAGTGGCCATGTTGTGAGGGTACTCAAGCAGCCCTATGGAGAAGCCCATGTGACCATTTTGGAAGTGGATCTTCCAGCCCCAGTCAAGCTTTCAGATGACTTTAGCCCTGGCCAACATCTTGACTGCAACCTCATGAGTGATCCTAACCCAGAATCACTCAGCAAAGCTGCCCTCAAACTCCTGTCCAATAGAAGCTGTGAGATAATAATTTGTTGTTTTAAGCTGCCATGTTTTGGGTGTAATTTGTTACACAACAATACATAGCTAATGCACAGGTCTTCAGTGAGTATCAGTCTGTTGGAAAATTAGTTATTGATTTTAAAACTCACACCAATAGCTATAAAATTGCAACTATGAAAATGGCTATAAATGGCTCTATTGGGAGGAGCTGACCTAGTCAGAGAGGTTACAAAAGGATTCCTCGAGAGAGTAATGGCTGATCTGAGGTGGAAGTAGAAGAAGGTGGGAAAGAGTATTCAGGTTGGGGAGCAGCTTGAGCCAAGGCCCTGGGTTGGGAGGAGCCAACCCAGGCACAGGAGGTAAGCAAGGAGGAGCTGAAGTGCAGGGAGGGAATGGCATGCAGGCGGGGCTGGAAATGCAGAAGGAATCTATTGCTATTCAGCCTAAGTGCAATGGGAGCCACCAAAGCATCTTAACGATGGACGGCATACTTGGATCTGGGCTTTCAAAGCTTCCTTAGTTTCTGTGGAGCATGGTTTGGAGATGTGAGGGTAAATGGGGGCATCACAGGAGCCCAGTAGAGGGGTGGGGTGTTCAGAACCAGGTGTTATTCATGGACATGGAGAAGGTGGAGAGACTGAGAACTATTTATAAAGTTAGACTGATGGTGCTTGTTGCCTAAATGGCCATGGGAAGTAAAGGAGAGAGAGGTTCACAGGATAAGTTTTAGATCACACAACTGTGGATGGGCTGGGGGTTGGACCAGTCTGAGAGACTCTAGAGAAATGCACTTCATGGGGTCATGGGCTGGGGCGAGCCTGATACTCTGTCCAGGTGGTACCAGCAGTCCTGAGGCCATGGGCATGTCCACCTCCTGCCTTTGGGCATGGCTCTGTCCTGTCAGAACTCACAGGCTGCACCAGACTGAATTGTGTCTCCCCAAATTCATATGGTGAAGCCCCAGCCCCTAATGTGAAGGTATTTGGAGATGGGGCCTTTGAGGGGTGTTAGGTTTTGATGAGGCTATGAGGATAGGACCTTCGTGATGGGATTAGTGCCCTTAGAAGAAACCAAAGAGCTTGCTCTCCCTCTCGCTCCATGTGAGGACACAGTGAGAAGGTGGTTGCCTGCAAGCCAGGAAGAGGGCTGTCACTAAGAACTGAATCGGGGGCACTCAGATCATGGGACTTCCAGCCTTCAGAGCTCTGAAAAATCAATGTGTTGTCTAGGCCACCCAGTCTGGGGTAGTTTGTTATGGCGGCCCTGAGCAAGACATGGTCTGAGGGAGTGGGTGAGATGCTCCCACAGAAACAATGAGGGAATAGCAGGTTGGTTTGGCTCCCTTCAAAGGGCAGATATGTCAGAATAAGCCTCTAAAGCAACAGCCCCCATGGAGCCCTAAAACCTTAGGGAGGTTTTGGGAGGTGTTAGGGAGTCCATGAGGTAAAAACTATTTTCATTGTGATACTAATGATTTAGTATTTTTACTCTCCTTCTTTCCTATGACAAAGTACATTGTTCTGGAATCCACGTGGTATGCAATATTGCAGCAGATTCGAGGCAGAAGCAGAAATGAGAATCTAGCTGTCTTCTATTAAGTCGGAGTTTAAAGAGATTTGCAAAACTGAAGACAGTGCTATACTTCTCATTGATTCTTTTTGTTTTGGAAAATACAGGTTTTTTTAAAAAATATAAATACATTATTCTGCCAGGCATGGTGGCTCATGCCTATAATCCCAGTACTTTGGGAGGCTGAGGCGGGCAGATCACCTGAGGTCAGGAGTTTGAAACTAGTTTGGTTTTAGGTTTAGTAGAGAAACAGGTTTAGTAGAGAAATGGGTTTAGTAGAGAAACCCTGAAACCCTGTCTCTACTAAAAATACAAAAATTAGCCAGGTGTGGTGGCAGGCGCCTGTAATCCCAGCTACTTGGGAGGCTGAGGCACAAGAATCACTCAAACCCGGGAGGCAGAGGTTGCAGTGAGCCGAGATTGCGCCACTGCACTCCAGTCTAGGTGACAGAGACAGTCCCAAAAAAATGAAAATAAAAATAAAAATAAAAATATGTTACTCATGTTAACATATAATTGGTTTACTATTGTTGTTTTAAATGAATTAATGAATAATTAAACTTTTTTCAGCTTTAATTTCTAATATGGCAAATATTAATAGATATAATCCACTTAAACTAAAGTTCCTGGGGGCCCTTAATAATTTTTAAGAGAATAAAATAGGGGTGCAGAGACCACAGAGTTTGAGAACTGCTGATCTAGAAGAAAGAGGCCCCTTAACTCCACGGGGTCTTCTTCAGACCTCTCTTTCACCTGCAGCTGTCATTAACAAGATTTCATGGGGTAGTACAGCTATGTTAGAAACAGGTATCTTAGACACGGATGGCTCAGATAGTCAGGCTTAACGCCCCTGTCCATAGCATTCATGAAACCATTAGCTTGGACTGTAACACATACAGAAGCATTGCTTCTTGTTTGCAGGCTGAACAGTGTCCTGTGTAAAGGAAATGTTAGGAGGATCCATATTCCTGTCCACACAAAGCAGACCCCAGGGCAACACTTTTCTAAGCACTGGCTTGTGTTCTCTGACTGGGGGAGCTGCTGGTTATCATGTCTCTGACCCCTTACACTCGCCTGTTAATTAGAACACAGACACTGATGTTTCCAAAAACACTGGAAAGACAGTTTGATATAATCATTTCCTGATTAGAAATCCTCCAGCCTCTCCAAATCATCTTGAGGTATTACGTCTCAAATCGTCATCAAGTCATGCCAGGTCCTTCGTAGGTTGGTCCCTCCCAGCCTCATCACCTCCTTCCAGCCTCGCCCAGCTACTGGAAGGCTCCCGAAGTCCCAGCAGGCTCTCTTGCTTATGGGACTTTGTATGTGTGATGTCCACCCCGAATCCCAGGGGTGCCTGCTTCCTTTCTTCTCCCTCTGCTCCTGCAGGATTCGTCGTAGAAGCATCCCTTCTGGGAAGCCCCGACTGACCTTTCCCACAAGGCCACCAGAACGTGAGCTGTCGTTCATGCTCACTTCTGCGCCATCAGCCCCAGGGTTGAGATCACACCTGTGCAAATCAGAGTATGTTGGTTGTTTATAGGTAGTGTCTGTTCTGATCAGTCAGCTTCTTATTCTAATTGCTTCTTGCCCAGGCCATTCTAGTTGTTAAATATTTCAGAAATCCACCCCTTCCAAAGGCCTTGAAAGAAAGCACTCCATAAATATTGTTGAATGAATAAATGAACAAGTGCTGTGAATGAATCAATGAACAAAGTCACAAAGTGAGTTGCTTTATGAACCCCTGATTTCAGAGCTGGTGAGTAAGGCCCTTCTTTATCACCAGCCGTGCATTGAAAACAGCCTGCACTGCCTAGAGGTCTAAGCACTTCAGCTAATTAATAGTTTTCTCTGAATTACACAATAGTAAATAATCAAGGCTTGAACTCTTTCAACTGACAATCTCTTTCCAACTGGCTGCCTCTTCACATACCCGCACCATGAGAAGCAGAGAACACCCTTCCACCAATGGTATTTGGTTATGTCCATGACATACTTGGTCCAGTGGGAGCATTACTGAAGCCTCAGCCTTTGCAATTGTGATTTAACAACTCACATGACAGGTTAAGCTTCTAAATGAATGAATTGCAAAGTGCTCTGATTACTTGAAACAATTATGCATTTGAGTCAATATCCTTCCATAAATTACTGGGAAGAATTGTATTTCAAATCCAATCCAATCAGTGCCTGCATGTTGGAACACCCAAGAAAATCCCAGTGGCTCTGGATCAAGATACTCTTTCTCATTGTCCATTAAGCCTACTCTCTAGGGTCATCTTCACTCAGGGGAGGGTATAAAATAGTCATTTGGGTGAGGGTAGGCCATCTGTAGTATGAACAGGAGTGGCTCACACAGAGCAAGTCTAGACTCCTTTCACTGTCAATTTAAATATTTTAAGCTCTCCACTGTAGTCTTGCCCAGCCAAATTCACTCACCTTTATAGGCTGAGGTCAAGCCCACTTCTTCCAGGAAGCCTGACATCCTGGGCATGACACTGTGCTGGGGCTGGGTGCATCTATATGAATGAACACTTTTGGCCAAACATGGTGGCTCAGGTCTGCAATCCCAGCATTTGGGGAGGCTGAGGCAGAAGGATTGCCTTAGGCCAGAAGTTCAAGACCAGCCTGGTAAGCATAGGGAGACCCTTATCTCTAATTTTTTTTTAAAAGAAGAATGAACACTTTCTCAGTGTGTCAAGAGGACAATCAAAGATGTGGCCACCAGTTAAATAAATAAACTGTTAAATGGATAACCTCAGGTTGCAACTGAAAGTACCTAAACTGGGAGGCCGAGGTGGGCAGATCACAAGATCAGGAGATCGAGACCATCCTGGCTAACATGGTGAAACCCTGTCTCTACTAAAAATTAAAAAAATTAGCCAGGCACGGTGGCAGACGCCTGTAGTCCCAGCTACTTGGGAGGCTGAGGTAGGAGAATGGCATGAACCCGGGAGGCAGAGCTTGCAGTGAGCTGAGATCGCACCACTGCACTCCAGCCTGGGCGACAGAGGGAGACTCCGCCTCAAAAAAAAAAAAAAGAAAAAAGAAAATACCTAAACCGGCATCAAATGCTGTCTGCTTGATTGGTTACAGCTGTTGGATGGCAGATGCATGTTGATCTTGTTTTTCTCATTCATTTGACGAATGTTTACTTAGTGCTAGGCCCTGTGTGGGTGCAGGTCCCAGTGCATAAAACATACACACACACCCCATTCTTCCTTGGAAAAAATCGGGAAACACAGTTGCACAGGAATCATCACAGCAGTAAAAACTCTCCAAAGAGGAATAAGAGAAGTCTAATTCGGGTCAGATCTTCAGAGACAGGTAAGATAAGCCTGCAATACAAGGTTTCCTGGAGGCCTAAATTCTGGGCCCAGAAGAGAAAGGGGAGGTGGCATCAGGCCTCATGAGATGGCTCAAGGGATAGGCTTCTGGACTTCTCCTTGGTTGCTCTCTGCTCATCCCAGCTGAGGTCAGACTGCCAGGCAGTCAGGCTGGCAACGGGATAGCAGGCACATCCTGTTGGCAGCTGAGGCCCAGTCTGGGAGCCGCTGGCCACAGCCCCATGGCAAGAAGACCTTTCTGCTCAGCCGGCTCGTCCTGCAGCTGTTTAGTGGAGAAGAAAAGCCCAAGGAAAGCAGAGCCTGGAATGATTGATGGGGCTGTGTGTGTCTTTCTCTTGCTCCTGTGGATTTTTCCATTGGAAAGAAGAGGCTTGTCTCTCATTTTTAATTGATTTTAATGCAGCTCAGCCAGGCTAGATCAGATCTCAGCTCCTCCGTGGCCTTCGACGAATGGTGTGAAGAGCTGCCTGAATGTTAATAACAGAGGCTGAGAGAAGCCAGGGAGGAGGCAACAAGGCCATTGTCTGCCCGGGAGGCTTCCACGGCTGACCTGCCACAGTGGACCCATCTATGGATTTCAGCAGTGGTGTGGATATGGGAATGGGGGCAGTGTGATGTCTAGCCTATGGGCCTGATGCAGAGGGATGTTACTGTGTAGCTGTAATTGCAGCCTTAAGGGGCTTCCAACTCAATCCATTGCAAGGTTTGGAACTCCAGCTGCTGACCTCTCAAAACACTCACTCCCTCTCCTTCTGCCGACTCCCCCTTACCTGTGCCTCGACCTCCTCTGAAAAGCCTTCTGGTGCCCTTGCAATTTCTCTGTGGCTTTGTCAGCACCTTCTGACAGCAAGAATTCTCTTCTCACTTCCTGTCTTGGCTGTCCTTGCCACCCTCTTCCCCCACCCTTGCTGGGCTCTGCCTCTGTATGCACTTGGACCAATGGCCAAACTCTAGTCCTCAGCTTTCTCCTCTCGAATGGGGACTGTAGCATCGACCACAGAGCGTGATTTTGAAGGGTCAGAAAAGAGAATGCAGGTAAAGCACACAGTGCTGTGCTCAGGGCAGTCAGTACTTGGGTGTTGTTTCTTTTCTACCAAATCCCTCCTTCCACCAAGTCGACTGGATCAAGAGACGTGAGCAAAATACGTAATTGGAAATTGGAGGAGGCTGAAACGCTATCCCTGGGGCATGGGCTCAGGCTCCTGTTCTAATCTCTCGATAAGATAGTTAATTTATGAGTGTCCTATGCCATTTTCTTGGCTGGAAAGGTATAATAGGTACTTTAGAAGGGTGATTTTCAAGCTTAGCTCCTAGAGAAAAGATATCAAGAATAATTTAAAAAACAAAAACCAGAGCTGGGACTTAAATCCCAGAGTCTGATACCAATGGGCCAGGTGTTGACAGAGATTTCAGATGGGTGGAAAAGAAGATCTTATTCCACAAAGCAAGGCCCCTTTACAAGAGTCCAGCCTCGTATTATACCTCTGATGGTCCCCATAGGTCTCTTCCTGTGCTCGCTACCATCAACCTAGTTCAATCCAGTGCTCCTGAACTTGGCAGAGCACCCATTGTACCCTATGAGCCTAAGTGGCAGGTGCATGTGTGGTGGGGGAAATCTGTCTCTCCATGTTTTTTAGTCCTTGTCTTAGTATATTTTATGTTGCCATAACAGAGTGCCACAGACTAGATAATTTATAAAGGAAAGGAATTTATTTGACTTATGGTCTGGAGGGTGGGAAGTCCAAGGGCACAGGCCCAGCACCTGCTCAGCATCCGGTGAAGGCTGTCTTGTTGCATCGTCCCATGGCAGAAAGCAGAAGGGCAAGTAAGTGGGTGTGTGAGACAGACAGGAAGAGAGCCAAACTTATCCTTTATTTTTTTTTTTAGACAGGCTCTTGCCCTGTCACCCAGGCTGCAGTTTGTGGTACCATCATGGCTCACTGCAGCTTCAACCTCCTGGGCTCCAGTGATCCTCCCACCCCTCAGTCTCCCGAGTAGCTGGGACTACAGGCATGCGCCACCATGCCCAGCTAATTTTTGCGTTTTTTGTAGAGATGAGATTTCACCATGTTGCCCAGGCTGCTCTCAAATTCCTAGGCTAAAGCGATCCTCCCACCTCAGCCTCCCAAATGCTGGGATTACAGGTATAAGCCACCATGCCAGGCCCCAAATTTACCCTTTTATCAGGAGCCCACTGCCACCATCACTAACTATACCCTTGATAACTAACCTGCTGCGCAATAACAGCATTAATCCATCTACGACGGCAGAGCCCTCATAACATGATCACCTCTTAAAGGTCCCATCTCCCAACACTGTTGCACTGGGAATTTTTCCAACACATGAACTTTGGGAAGCACATTTAAACCACAGCAGACCCCATCTCTTTCCTATCTTTCAAAGAGTGTAGCTGGTATAGTCCCATATCAATACACGGTCATTGTTTTCTCATATAGAGTCAAACATCCTGGAGCTGGTTTCCCAATATGTACAAACTCTGAAACAACCTGGCCCACAGCAACCACAGCCCTATAATCCTTCCATGTACGTACAAATGTGGTCAAAGCCAGATTCACTGAAACACACGTATTTACAAACATAGTGTCAAGAACGTGGAATGGTCTGAGATCTTACCTTTTGTGCAAGCTAGCAAACTGATGTGCTGTGGTTTTGAGGATTCTGGTGGAAGCCATGAGATTCCTGGGCCAGGGATGAAGGACGGTTTAGTATTCACAGCAATACCAGGAACCAGAGTATCAGCATTTTAGTGCCTGGCCCCGATCCCTAATTCCCACCGAGTGATGTCAAGAGAATTAGATGACATCTATGTTACATTACAGGGGAGGAAGAACTCTGAGCTTAGGACTCCCAAGTCTTATAATAAGCAGGAACTATGCCTGCCTTCTCTCAGAAGTAGGACACTAATTCTATCTACCAAGGCTGTTCGTCATACAACACCCTTGAAAAGACAGTCCAGAACAAAAAGCAGTCAGTGCCTCACTTGTAAGATGTGCAGAAACACAAGAGATCCATGGAGAATGATCTGCTAACATTGAGGTCACTGGTCATGCGTCTCAATAGCCTGACACACGCTCCTAACACACATTCATGCAGCATATGAACACTCCTCAGTGAGCACAGACATACATGCATCACTGTCTAACAAACACGCACAAAGCTTAAGAAGCACTCAGGGGCCAGGCGCGGTGGCTGATGCCTGTAATCCCAACACTTTGGGAGGCCGAGGCCGGCGGATCACCTGAGGTCAGGAGTTCGAGACCAGCCTGGCCAACATGGTGAAAACCCGTTTCTACTAAAACTATAAAAATTGGCCGGGCGTGGTGGTGGGTACCTGTAATCCAGCTACTTGGGAGGCTGAGGCAGGGGAATCGCTTGAACCCAGGAGGCGGAGGTTGCAATTGCACTCAAGCCTGAACAACAAGAGTGAAACTCCACCTCACAAAAAAAAAAAAAAAAGCACTCAGACAGGGTTTGGAACAGTGCCTTGTCTTCCCTATATGAAGTGATGAACTGAGAAGGCTTAGCTTGAGTCTCCACCTCTATCCTTTGGCTACATTTACCTTAGAGTGCTTCTTTGCATACAAAAATATGATCCTTGCATCCACCCCCTACTTAAAACCCACTGCCTTCAGGACAGAGCTCTAACGTTCTAGCTTGGTCCTAGCCCCACCGTGGCCACCTTTCCAGCTCCTCCTGGCCCAGCATCCTGCCCTTCTGCCATGCGGGAACTTGACTTTCCTGTGCATTCACACACCCTTTCCCTGCCTCGGCCTGAAACGGAACAGGCATTAGTCTTGGGCCTGCAGCGCTAACTGTTCTCTGTGCTTCCCTCGCAATCCATGTTTACACCATTGTCTCACTAAGCTCACTGTGGTATCATCCCCACTTAATGTTTCTTGACTTTCTCCCCATGCGACGCTAGGAACTGTTCCAAAACAAGGCCTTTATCTGACTTGTTTTTTCATCTCTGTTGAGTGAGCCCAAGGTGGGCAGGGTCCACGGCTTAAGAGGCCAGGTGGCTGTTATCAGACCAACTATAGGACTGTAGGCAGTTCCGGCTGCCTAGTTTTTGGGGCCCAGGGCAGAAGGAAACTGTGGGGTCCTTGTTCAGAAATGATTAAGAATGACAAGTTGGTGACAGCAGAGCATTAATCCAATATGTGGCCCTTCTCAGAGTAAGGCCCTGGGTAATGGCACAGGTCACACATGCATGAAGCCAGCCCTCACTATAGGGGTACCCACATGGGGAGGTGGTAGCATCAGGTACCTTCACATACCCTGAGGACCCCATGAAGACGAAAGCCCCAGAGGGAGGAGCAAGTAGCCCAACAGAGCCTTTGGGTTTACATATGGTGAGTTTCCTTCCTTCCTTCCTTGCTCCCCACCCCCCTGCCTCTTCCTTCCTCCCTTTCTTCTTTTTTCTTTCCTCCTTCCCTCTTCCTTTCTTCCTTCTGTGTGTGGGAGGAGCTTAGCTCTTTTCCTTGTATCCAGTTATGAAACTTCTTTGGGCACCTACTGTGAACACTGACCTTGGTATAATGCAATGGGCTTCTTGATCTTAGAAACTCCCAGACACACCCACAGGAGAAAATGGAATCCCAATTCTCACTCCCCTTCCCCACTTCACCTCTGCATACATACCTGACCACCCATCCAGACCCTTCCCCTTCCCTCAGTTCTTCCTCTGTAAGACTTCACAATATATTGAGTCTATGTGTGAAGGTAAAAGTGCTGTAGACAGGTGCAAAATAAAGATGCAAAGAGAAGAGAATGGTAATAAATCAAAAGTAAGTCTGGATTATGCCCATCTCACTACCCAGAAGAAACCATTTGACTGTTTCTATTTCTATTCTAGTACCATAGTTCTGAATATGCTTAGATCTTTATTTCACAGTTTGTTAACTTTGGGCAGTTTCTATTGACTTCCTGCTATGAGAACTGATACATTTAGTGTACTTCTTCCTCACTTTGCTTTCACTCATCTCCTGGTTTTGTTATATTATTTTTAGCTCTTTTAGTTATCCTTATAACATTAGGTAATTTGCTTAAACCTTGGTATGGTTTTGTTCCATCAGCTTTGCAAAATGTGTCCTGACTGCCCATTCTGTAAGAAGAAAATGGTTTCTGCCTCCACTTCTCATCAATCCGAGTTTATGTTCTGACTTATTTTACATCATCAGACCCTTCAACTTTATCAAATATATTATCAAATTCTTTTACTTTATTAACTTCTTTTATATGATCAAGGTTACCGCATTTCTAAGCTATGACTTCTGGGCTTTGTCTATAGGTCGATTTCAACATAGCTCTTATAGTACTATGATTACAAAAACAGTACCAGGTTGGCCCCTCAGAGAAGCAACTGTATTCTCAAGTCACTAAACCTAGGCTGCTTGAAGAAGACACAAGACTTGGGGTCAGAGGGATTCTCTTACTGCACACGCCATCAGCTTCTCAAACCCATCAGTTGCTGCATTTTAGTTTAAATTGTACATATTTGGGCCATGACTGCCGTGTTCAGTTTGTTCTTTTTCCTGGCTCCTTCTTGTTCTGCCTTTCATTTCTCATCCAAAGAAGAAACACACTCTTCTTTTCCATGTCCTTAAAATCACCCAGATTTGTAATCAGTGGGGAAGGTTCTGAACTGGCTTTCTGGTTCCTGTGCAGCCCGCAGCTGGGATTTCCTTTCAGGGCACCACACTGCGCTAATTCCACTGTTCGTTCTACCCCATGCCTTCCTGTCTTTCAGATTCCTTTCTAATTTTGCATGTAATATGTCCTCAAACAATCTTTGTCTGAAAGGGTATTTAATTGATAGTTTGCCTAGTTGTAGAATTGAAGGTTCAAAATCATTTTCTCTCTGATCCCATTGACCTCTAGCATCTATGCTGTTGTAAATTCTGATGCAAATGCAAATTCTGATGCTAATGCGATTCCCTTTTCTTGCAAGTGACCTCTTTTTTTATTTTCTGGAAGCTAAGATCTTATCATTGGCCTTCCGAAATTTCATAAGGGTATTTTAGGATGTCCTGCCTTCCAGACAAAGACCTGTATTTTCCAACAGCGGTTATTTTCTCCATTTTCTAGGACTCTGAATGATGACGGCTGGGCCTCCTGGCTTGACCCTCTATGGAGACTCTGCTGCTGATCTCTGTTGGGCCACTTTTAGGTTGTGACTTCTTTGATCTGGTTTAGTCATTAGTTCAGTATAATCCTCTTCCCATTTTCCAACACAAATCTCTGACCCTGATGAACTCTTTGTCATGTTGATAGGGATTTCCACACGTGTACATTTCTATAGCATTTGGATGGGATAGAGAAGCCATCCTTTATCTACTATCAGGAGTGGAAAGCTCCCCTCTGGAAGTCTTTGGGTCCCTCTGAGAAAGCTGGAAAGACACAGAGAAAGGCAAGGAGGGTGCTCTGCAGGTTTCTAGAGGCCTTCGGAGAGCATCAGCTATTTGTGATGGATGCAGAGCTGCTGAGAAGTCAGCCTGCATTCCTGAACATGGCTCTCTCCTGGTTCAGGAATGCAGAACCCTGCAGGGGCCAGGTGCCAAGATGGTGTGGGTTTAGGGCAACAAGAGGAGAGGCAGTTCCCCAAGGGGTCCTCAAAGCCTTGAGGAGGGCAAGTGAGCCCCAGGCCTCTTGAGGAGCCCTGGTCTGACCCGGCAGGGTTTCTGCCTTATCCCAAGTTCTGCAAAGCAGAGGGCACCAGGCTGCTGGCTGCCCCTCGAAAGAGCACCTCCCTCTCCCTCCAGACTTAGCATCCCCAGATAGAGGCTACTTTTCAAGGACCCACTTGGACATTGTTCACTGCGTCTGTATCCATGTGATTTAGTTGAGCGGGTTGCTTTCCTCTTGACACCAGCAGCCAGGGATGGGGGTGCAGAGGGGAGATGAGATAATTTGGAAGTGTAGGACAGTTCTGAAGGAGAAGAGGTGGGAGAGGGAATAGCATTGAAGGGCTCTGGGCAGCAACGTTGACGGTGGGTGGGGAAGGTAATGGAAGGGGTCGCCAGATGGGAGGGGAAGAGCTTGGACCACCTACTTGGCTTCCAGGGAGGCTGAACCGCTTGCGGCCCCTCTCTGCCTCCTGTTTGGACACCTGGTACTTTTGTGCCTCCATTTCCTCATTTCTCATTCATCTGCACCCTCCCTTATTGAGCATCTTTGAGGTCAGTGGGGTATCATGCCTCCGTCTCAGTTCTGGGCTGCAAGGTAGCTGACAGCCTTGGGCAAGGAGCCCAGGGACACCTCTGCTGCCCAGTTTCCCTCTTCAGAAACGGACGGAGGGGATGTGTCAGGCACTGCGCTGGCACGAAGAGGGTGGGATGGAGAACTGTGAATTCTACCTTCAAGGGGGAGGCAAACCCACATGGACAGAGAAGACACAGGAACAGGGCCCAGCGGCACAGGGGAGACTTGGCTGATTTCCAGCATGGGAAGCAGATGCCCCTGCAGTGGTAGAGACACTGGAGCAAGATGGTTACAGGGCCCCAGAGACAGACTCAGCCCTCCAAGCCTGTGGGAGGGGAGGGCCACTCTACTGGGGGGCCCATGACCACAGAGGGGGTAGGGCCTGGCTGGGTGGGCGCTGCTGGGCTCACATCTCAGGGGCAGGTCTGAGGCAGTCTGGGAGCGTGAGGCTAGGTTGAGATACACAGGGTCTGCAGAAGTGCCTGAGGCTGCTGTGTGACCTGGATGTGCTGCATCGCAAGCTGGGCTGGCCGCAGAGCAGGGCTTGCTGGCACCCAGGACTCACATCGTGAGGAGCGTGAATGCAGGAAGGAAAGTCTGCTGTATCTGCATGGATCTCAGTGGGCCCTGGAGTGCCTCTAGTCCAACTTCTTTGTCAATGTAGGAACTGGGGCCAGAGAGGGAGAGGGCTACCATCCTTCTTGCACAGCTCACCCCACAAAGCCCCAGTTCCCCTCAGGGCCAGCTCAAAAACCTTCTCCTTTGGGACCAAAACTAATCCTCCAGGCAGGTTGGAATTGCAATGCCTTGGCAATGCTCCCTTTACCAGCTCCCATGAGGCCCGATCTGACTCCCGCTGTCACTGCATCTGTCTGTTCCCAAGCACCTCAAGGGTAGGATTGGGTCCTTTCTACAGGGTCTCCCAGTGCTTGTAGAAGAACGCAGTGAGTATTTGTTGGATGTGTGGATGGACAGGTGGATAGATGGGTGGGTGGATGGATGAATGGATGGATGGATGGATGATTGGATGAATGGATGGATGGGTAGATGGATGGGTGGATGGATGGATGCATGGATGGATAGGTGGATGAATGGAGGTGGATGGGTGGATGCATGGATGGATAGGTGGATGAATGGATGGGTGGATGAATGGATGGGTGGATGGATAGGTAGATGGATGGATGGATGGGTGCATGGATGGATGGGTGGATGAATGGATGGGTAGATGGACGGGTGGGTGGGTGGATGGATGGATGGATGGATGGATGGATGGATGGATGGATGATGGATAGATGGGTGGCAGACATTGTCTCCAGCCCCTCTGCATCCAGGCACTGCACTGGCACTCATCAGCCTTTCTCACCCTGCCTAGGGAGGCCTGCTCTGGGCTTCCCTCACACCTGAGCTGTGCACCACTTGCGATTTTTATGCTGTGAATAAGCTCCTGAAAGGTCACAAGGCAGTTCAGAGGTTGTTCTAGGGAAAGAGAAATGAAGCACCCTGAGTCTCTAAATCCTTAGCAGCGGGAATACCAGGTGACCTGTTTCTAAGTCAGCTTGCACACTGGGGAAGCCACCATACCTGCTCTCATCTGGCAGCCCAGCACATACAAGCAGGGCTGGGGAGGCACAGACCCCATGGACATTTGGCTGCTTTTGTACATTGACACAGCCAGGCTGGCTCTCATGGCTAGCTTTGCAAACTCTAAGCACAGGCTAGCAAAAGGCAATGGGGAAGGTGGTTCCAGGGCTGGTAGAAGGTACATGTCCCAGGGCTGAGGACCAGGACATGGCCAGGCCCACTATCTCATTTGTGGGTGGGTAGGTGGCAGAACCTGGGGCAGCACCCAGGCCTGGGGAACAGCTTTCTCACCTCTCACCATACTGGATCTGCAGTGGCGCCTCCTCCTCCACCCCAGCCCAGGATCCTGGGGGAAGGGGAAGGCTAGACGAAGCTGCTGTGGTCCTCCTAGATGGTTGTAGTGGAATCCGTGGGGAGGTGAGGAGGCAGTTGCTCTGTGCACATTGAAATCCCTTATGAGCCAGTGTCCTGCAGGAATAACAAGAACAGATGTGTGTTTTGGTGTTTATCAAATGACTTGACCTCTACTATGTTAGCATTGAGGCAGGCAGGAAAGAAATGGTTGTCTACACACACCTGTGTAGACAGTTTTCTCATTTGACAGAGTCAGAAACTGAGGCCCAGAGAGAAGGGACTCACCCAAGGTCACATGGCAGAAAATACTGGAGTCAGAAGCAGAGCCAGGCCTTCCAACTCTCAGGCCTGGCTCTTGCCTTCATCCCTATGGCCTCCGACTGCAGGCAGGTCCCAAAGCGGTGGTGCCCCTAGAGTAGCTGAGGACACTGTTCTGTCCCTGGAACTGACGCCTCCCTGGGGACTGTGGGTGGGAGCAGCAATGAAGGGAGTGGGTGTGATGGTGATGAGAAAGAAGAGGAAGGGAAAGCAGGGTCTGAGAATGACCCTGGGGCAACAGGAGCCTCTTCAGTCCCCACAAGGGGCAGAGGGCAGCAGTGAATCCAGAGAGAGCAGCCAGTACACCCTACCCCCAGCTGGCATCCCAGGTCTCTCCAGGTCTAGACTTGCACTGACTCCTCTGTGCCATCTTTCCAAACATGCCTGCCTCGTCATGCCTCTGTGCCTTTGCCTGGTGGTTTGCTTATTCTCTGTCACACCTGCAGGTCCTGCCCAGTGCCCACTCCTTGGGGATGCTCCCCAGTCTTCTCCTGTGGTGCCCTCGCTGTCCTGCAGCTCAGAGCTGGCACATGGGATCCCTTTCTCCCACTGCATGCAGAGCCCTGAGGGTAGGCACTGTGTCTGGTTCGTCTCTGTCCCCAACAGCTGACTCAGGGCCTGCAGAGAACAGCTGCCCAATACACATTTGCAGAACAAATGGGTTAATAGACAAAAGAGCAGTAAATAAATGGGCCTCACAATGCCTGACCACAGTAGGGCCTCAACAGATATTTATTGAGCTAGAGCACAAGAGTCCCAGAGGCTGGTCCACGATGCCACAATGTCTCTGTTGGCTTCCCTCCATCACACACATACAACCCCTCCCCACCTGCACACACATACACACACACCCACATGCCTCCACACATATGCATATGCGTACACAAGCATTCTTCCAGAACACTTGGAACATTTTATTGTGGCCAAATGGTTCTGCCCCTCCGTCTCAAAATGCACACTCCCAGGACCCCTGCTGTGATACTGTGATGTAATAAGAAATATATATTTTGTCTTCTTGGTTTCTGGCACACTGCTCCTTAAAACCCTTGGAATTGCCAGAGTGATGAGTATCTTTTTTATGCTAATGAGATGACTGGTGACTCATGACTTGGGGGCCCCTGCATAGCTTCAGGATGAGGGCTGATTACCAGAAAGAACAAGACGTGATTAGAAGGTTGGGACTTCTAACCCTAGCGCCCAACCTCCTGGGGTGGAAGAGAGGCTGAAGGTTGAGCTGATCAACAATGGCCAATGATTTAATCAATCATACAGAAGTAATAAAGCCTCCATAAAAACCCCAAAGGACTAGGTTTGGGGAACTTCCGGATTGCTAACCACGTGGAGGTGCTGGGAGGGAATGCACCCGGACAAGGCATGGAGGCTCCATGCCCCTTTCCCCATGCCTCGCCCTAGGCATCTCTTTCAACTCCGACTGTTCATTGGACTCCTCTGTAACATCCTTTATAATCAATGGGTAGGTCAGGCACTGTGGCTCACACCTGTAACCCCAGTACTTTGGGAGGCTGAGGTGGGAAGAATGCTTGAAGCTAGGAGTTTGACACCAGCCTGGGCAACATAGCAAGACCCCATCTCTACTAAAATAAACAAAATTAGCCAGCTGTGGTAGCATGTGCCTATAGTCCCAGCTGCTTGGGAGGCTGAGGCAGGATGATCACTTGAGCCCAGGAGTTTGAGGCTGTAGTGAGCTATGATCACTCCACTGCACTTTAGCCTGGGCGACAGAGTGAGACCTTGTGTCTAAAAAATAAAAATAAAATAAAAGTAAAATATAATTAATGGGTAAATGTAAGTAAAGTGTTTCTGAGTCCTTTGAGCTGCTCTAGCAAATTAATGGAACCTGCAGAGGGGGTCACAGGAACCCATGATTTACAGCCAGTCAATCAGAAGCGAAAGCCACAATGCAGGCTTGCACGATTGGCCTCTGAAGCAGGGGGCAGTGTTGTGGGACTGAGCCCTTAGCCTGTGGGACTAGAAGCTGTCTCCAGGGGGATAGTGTCAGAATTGAATTCAAAGCGAGGACAGACAGGCAGCTGGTGTCTGCTGGAGAGTTCCTTGGTGGCGGGAAAACAACTCGCACACGTCTGGTGTTGGAAGCATTGTGTTGAGCTGTGTATGAGAGAAAGAAAAACACTTTGGTTTTCTCTATCCCTAATACCTATCCACTCCCATACATGTATCCTCACTTTCCCTCTCCACCAACCTCCCCGCTCCCCAGTACGCGACACCAGTACCTGGGAACCTTCTCAACTTCCCACTGCGATTTCCAAAGATGCTGATCTTCGTCAGCTGCATTAATGAATCACAGCCCAGGAGGCTCCGACCTTCCTAAAAATATCTGAGAACCCTCAGTGCAGAGAGAGACTGTGAAGGCGTGTGCATCCTCTTGGAGCCAGCCTGCCCTGCTCAGGCCATTGGGGGCTACTCGTCATGCTCACCTCTCCCCCATGTCCTTGCATCCTCACCTGCTCTGAACCCCAGAAGGCTGAACCAGTGGTTGCAGAGCCAGATCTCTCTAAGACAGCCTCCAGTGCACCCACACATTACAGATGGGGAAACTGAGGCCCAGAGAGGGAAGGGCCACAGGCCCTTGGTTCCCAGTGCAGGCCACTGCACAGTGTTGCCTCTGTGGTCAGCAGCCAAACAGGGGTGGGGAGGAGGGACTCCTCAGGTTAGACCCCCAGCAATGAGGGCCCAGCCTGGCCCCTGCAATGAGCTGTGGTCTGATGGGGCCACTACTGGTCCGCAGACTCAATAAGGAGCTTCTACAGGCAAAAGCAGTTTCCTGGGGCCAGGTGTGGAGGGGCAGGGGGTGGTCCACCATGGTGGAGCTGCCCTCCTATCACAGGCTTATGCTTCTCAAGCAGGGAAGACGAGGAATGGTCCCCGAGATGGAGAGTGGCAGATTTGGACTTCGTTCTGCTTCACAAAGCTCACCAGTACTAAGTCCATTCTTTTGCCATTCCTGCACAGGGGGCTTCTTCACACTCGCCCACCCCTCCACCCTGGCAGTAGAATCCAGAGGGCTCTCATTGGTAGCTACAGCTTTGTTTTTCAAAGTGTGGTTCATGGACCAGCGGTATCGACATCCCCTGAGAGCTGGTTGGAAATGCAGAGTCTCAGGCCCCACCCCAGACCTGCTGAATCAGACCCCAAGGGGTTTTCTGCTGTTAGAGTTTGAGAAGCTCGGGGCAATGGAACCACTTAGTGTAGTCTCACTCAGCAGTGACACATGTGATGAGTTGTGCATGCATAATATTATTAATCAGCTGGGAGGAGAGCCAGGAGGACGGGAATAGGAAAAGGAGGGCTCCTAGGATCCTAGCACGGCAAGTCCAGAGTGAACGTGGGAACTGTTGCTCAGCCCCTCTGGAGGCTCCTCGAAGGAGTGAATCTGGGGCCAACAGAGCATGTGAGAATTTGTCCACTGCTGTCCTCTTCCTCAGGCTGGAAACCCCTCTAGTCTCTCTAACAGGTGCTTTTCAGTCCCAGCTTGGGCTCCCATCATGACGGGGAGCTCACCACCTCTCAGGTGGTCTACTGCAGGGTGGACGGCTGTGACTCCGACAGAGACTCCATCACGTGGAGCAGAAGCTGCCTCCGTGGCCCCAGCTGGCCCACCCTCCAGCTCTGGGCTCCCTCAGGGCTGCTGGTGACCAGCCAGTTCCTTCTGTGATCTCTTCTTTACTCCTTGTCACTTTATTCTTTTTCTAGTTCCAGAAATAGTCTTTCTGGTTTTTTGTTTTGTTTTGTTTTTGTTTTTTTGAGATGGAGTTTCACTTGTCCCCCAGGCTGGAGTGCAGTGGTATGATCTTGGCTGACTGCAATCTCCACCTCCCTGATTCAAGTGATTCTCATGCCTTAGCCACCCGAATAACTGGGACTACCAGCATGTACCACCATGCCTGGGTAAGTTTCGTATTTTTAGTAGAGATGGAGTTTCACCATGTTGGCCAGGCTGGTCTCGAACTCCTGATCTCAGGTAATCTGCCCGCCTCAGCCTCCCAAAGTGCTGAGATTACAGGTGTGAGCCACCATGCCCGGCCCAGAAATAGCCTTTCTATTTGTGTTTGGAGAGTCATTTTATGGGTCTCTCCTCACTGAGAATGGAGGTACTGCCACACTGTATGGAAAAGGCACCTACAGAGGCAGAACTTCCACCACCAGGACTCAGAGGGTGGCATCAGCCTCCCTTGGTCACTTCCTCCTGCATGGCAGACAAGTAGGCATCGTGCTGCAGGCTCTGCCCTGTTCTTTGGGGGCTCAGGAAGTGGAGAGGGACATTAGCAACAGCCCAGACTGGGATCATGGCCTTAACCTGCCAAATGCTGGAGCTTGAGAGCAGGTTACCCACTTCTTCCCAGCAGCAGGTCCAACAGTCTCTGTGGGAAGACACAAAATTGTGGCTCAGTTAGCCAGCAAAGACCTAAGACTAGGAGGCCCAGAGCAGAGCTAGCCCCCAGCTCAGTGCCCGGCTGTGTATAGGGGATAAAATGGGGTGAGGCCATACCCAGGGTGCAATTGCTGCACACTCACCCAGGGCAGCAGCCCCCGTGTCGCCCACAGCCTGCTCTCACCCAAGACTGTGGCTCCTCCACCAGATGGACCAGGCACTTCCATGGCCCCTGCTTCCTGACCCTCCTGTCCACTTCCCACACAGCCTAGGGACCACTCTGAATGCCATCCCCTGTCCCCCGCCAGACCCTCTCCACAATTAATGATCTCGACAGAGTGGGTCTCCCTGCCACCTGCTATACCCTGACCCAGGGATACCCAGGAGATCTCCTCTGAAGCTTGACCCTGGCAGCCATCTGTAGCCTCCCACAAACTAGGAAAGGGTGGTGGTGGGGACAGCCCCTCCCGGGCAGGCCAACCCCACCCCGTGGGACAGTCAGCACACCCTGCAACTAGGGTACGTCTAATAACAGCTGCACTCATCCCACTGGAAGATGAATGTGGAACCTCTGATCCTGCTCCACCAACAGGGAGCAGGGCTCTCCAGGGCCAAGCCAAAGCCACCAGGCAGGTCAGAGCAGGGTTTTGTCACTCCTCTCAGGATATAGCGGGACAGCAGCAGCCCAGAGAGCCGGAGCCCTGCTGGAGCCTGCGCAGTGAGATGGATGTAGAGTCAGGGCTGGAACTGGAATGTGCTGCCTCACAGGCCAAGGCTTCCATGGAAAAAGAACAGCCATCATTCATGGCTGAGCGCTCCAAGCTAGCTACCACATACGCATTGCTTCCTGGTATGGTAGTTATGACAACCCTATTTCACTAATGAGGAAAGGGCTTAACAAACTCCACCAAGGTCGCAGTTAGCAAACAGCCCACCCTGCCCCTCTAGGAACTCCCAGCTCATTTCCCAGGACAGGAGGCTCTGCAGCTCCTGCTACACTCACCAGCTTTGCCCCATCCCGGCACTGACAGGGAGTTCACTCCTTGGGGAGCCCTTCCTTTGGCAGCCAGACTTATTCCCCTGCAGTAGAGTTCAAGATGTTTCCCCTATAACTGCCCATCTCCCCCGCCTGTGCCGGGGTACAGCTCTAAGGGAGACACAGACACTGCTTGGGCTGACTCCTTCCCAGCTGAGTCTCTGAACTGCCCAGGGATCTGTAGTATGTGGGTCCGGGTGGGGTGACTCCCAGCTCTCAGCATTTCTGCCCCAGTGGCCTGAGCACCTGTGGGTCCAAAGCCCTCAGAGTCACACTGGGTCTCCTGTTCCCTGGCTCTCTGGTCAAGGAAGACAAGGAGGAGCAGGCATCACTTGCTCACTCTGGCCACCTGCACTCTGGCTCTAGCTCTAGGCACTTCTCTCTTGGCTGCAGTGACAGGCAGCTGTGAGGCCAGGGATGGAGTTTGTCACAGGTTTTTTTTTTTGTTTTTTTTTTTGAGATGGAGTTTTGCTCTTGTCACCCAGGCTGGAGTGCAATGGCGCGATCTCAGCTCACTGCAAACCCTGCCTCCTGGGCTCAAGCGATTCTCCTGCCTCAGCCTCCCGACTAGCTGGGATTACAGGCACACACCACCATGCCCAGCTAATTTTTGTATTTTTAGTAGAGACGGGGTTTCACCAAGTTGGCCAGGCTGGTCTCAAACTCCTGACCTCAGGTGATCTGCCTGCCTCAGCCTCCCAAAGTGCTGGGATCACAGGCATGAGCCACCAAGGCTGGCCCCCCACAGGTTCTCTTTTCCCATTCCTAGAGGTCCCTTCACTACCCTTCTAGCCCCTGAACCCCTGAGAACAAGGATTGAGTTTCTCCTACTCTGTCCCCCTCTCAGAATCTCCTGACACCATGGAAGTCACGGGTATTGGGTGCCTGCATGTGCTAGAAGCCACCCTGCTCACCATCACACAGATTCATCTAATCTGTCAATAACACGATCTGATGAATATTACTAGTTCGTTTTACAGACGACAACACCGAGACTTGGGAGTTGACTTGATGTTACTGAGAAAAGGTCACATCCTTAGTAAGTGGCAGCAGCACGGGACTCACATCAATATGGGTGACCCCCGGACTCAAGTTCCTTCCACTGGTCAAGCCACATTCCCTGTAAGGTGCTGCTTCTAGAACAAGGGGGCAGAAGCTGGGGGCATCTCAGCCTTGCCCTCACACTGATTCCTACTGGGCTGCCTGAGGCCAGGCCAGTCAGACGCTGGGGAATCAAGGGGCTCTGTGCTTGCAGGGCCACAGGAGGGCCCGGCCCCAAGTATCCCAGTCCCCATACCCACCCTCGCCCCTGCTGGTAAGTTCGTTAAGACAGAGAGGCCTGAGGAAGGCATGTGGTGCTGGCAGCCAAACAAAGGGGGTCTGCGATCAGCCAGACACTTCCTCACTGGCATAAAGACCTACTTCCCCCCCAGACACAGCCCCCGGCCACTAGGACCCCAAAGAATGCCTGGAATGCCGTGGGGCCAGACAGTCTCCAGGCTCCTGCAGACAGAGGAGAGGCTGCCTTTGTGCCCAGAGGACTGACCGCAGGCTAGAAAGGTCACTCTCTGACCTGTGACCTTGCCCTTTCACCCCAGTCCCTGGGAGTAGCTGAGCTTCCCTCCTTAGGACCCACAGTGTCCCTTCCGTGCCAGTGGAACCTGACCCCAAGTTTGCAGCAGCTTCAAGAAAGAGGAGATGAGTTCCAATGATGCAGATGTGGCTCCCACAGCTGGCCCCCAGCACCGAGGGGGAACTCAACGTCCCCAGGGGCTCTCTGGAGGTCATTTGAACAGTCAGTCCCCTAGGAGGGCAGCTCCAGCCCCCTCCTCACCTGCTCCTCTAGGGCTGGTCTCGCTCAGTGCCTCAGGACCACCCCCACCACCCCTGACCTGCTGACTGCCCAGACTGTCCTAGAAGCTAAGGGCCTAGAACAAAAGAGAAATGAATCCCTATACTCAGGGCCATTCTAGCTGGAGACAGACACAAACCCAAGTCAGTTCTAGCAGGAGAAAGAGCCTCACAGGAGGAGAAAGGTGGTGCTGGGGGGTGCGGGGTAGGGGGCTGCAGTCTCACACGTGGTCAGGAATGACTTAGAGGAGGGCGGGAAGGAGTCCCGTGGCTACCTGGGGAAGAACATTCTAGGAAAAAGGAGCAGCAAGTGCAGAAACCCCAGTCTGTTCAGGGAACAGCAAGAAGAGCAGGGTCAGCACGTGGTGGGGGTTCCTAGGAGCTGGAGCCGGGCGGGTAATGGAGGAAGGGGCCAAGCCTGGGCCGCCGTCAGGCTTCAGTGTTCACTCGGGGTGAGATGGAAGCCCTGTCAGGTTTTAAGCAGAGCAGCAACAGGATCAGACTTGTGGCTTGTAACTGGGCCCTTTGTCTGGGGACTAGACAGGAGGTGAGGGAGGAGGTGACAGGAACCAAATCAGGAGGCTCCCAGGCCTGCCATGGCCCAGCCATGCTGACACATCTGCCTGTCTGTGGCAGCAGCTCCTGGAAGGAGCTCAGGGCCCAGGGCTGGGCAGCTGCCCAGGC
Source organism: Homo sapiens (assembly GCF_000001405.40). Classification (NCBI taxonomy): domain Eukaryota; kingdom Metazoa; phylum Chordata; class Mammalia; order Primates; family Hominidae; genus Homo; species Homo sapiens. The sequence goes on from NC_000002.12 coordinate 20,568,702, forward strand.
CACATCCCATTCCACACTCACCGTGATAGGCCAGGCCCTGTGTTGGGGACAGGATGGAGAACCATAAGACATAGTGCTTATCTCGAAGAGTTCCCACCTGATGAGGGACAGGCAGATCTTGGCAGCCTCTCCCAGCTCTGAGCCCCAGAGCTCAGTTGGGACCTCCCAAGGGACTCATCAGCATCCTCTCTACTGCTGGCAAGGAGATTGCCCTCGAGGCCGTCTTGGTCACTCCAAAGCTTAGCCCACAGCCTGGTCTGTGGCTTGAGGTCCCAGTGGGCTGGAGACTCTCTGGGGTAAGCAGAGTACTGGTCGACTTCGGGCACCAATGAGCCCGGCAGCTAGGAATGACATGATCAGCAGGACTGACAGTGGCCCTACAGCTCAGCCGCAGCCCAGCCCAGCCTGCCTGGGCCTTGTTCCCGGGTAGCCAAAAGAATGGAGGCAGGAGAGAGAGAGAGAAAGGGAGGCCCATGTCCCACCACCCCCAAAAGGCAGAGAAACATGTTTAGCCTGTCTGTGACTCACTCTTCCTTACAAGAAAACTTTTTGTTTTTTCCTTCAAAATCGCAGACTTCCACCTTCAGACAATAACGTGTCCTCAGGAAGTTACGTATTTTGTTTTTCTGTGCAAGCTGCTGGGGCTTTTGTTGTTTTAGAAACGTCTGCTGTAATTGGGCCTGTGGACAGACTGTGGCTGCCTCTCAGAACAGGCTGACTCCTACATAGGGTGGCCAAATTTGACAAAGAAATATATCAGACACCCAACTAAATTTGAGTTTTAGATGAACAACAAATTCTTATTTTAGTCTAAGTATTTCCCAGGCAATATTTGAAACATACTCAGGCTAAAAAAATTCATTGATCTGAAATTCAAATGTAACCAGTATTTTACTTGGCAACCCTTCCCCTAAGTCCACCAACAAACCCACAGCCATGCCTCTCTCGGTCACCAGCCCCACTGGTTCCCAGTGTCCTCCTGATCCTCCGACTCCATTGATCCCAGTGAGTCTCCCAACCATTGGCCTGTGCCCTTGGAGTTGGGCACAGGGGACCTCAAGTCACAGGCCAGGCTGTGGGCTAAGTTCTAGAGTATCCAGGAAGCCCAAGCCTCACACATTCCCTGAACCTTGCCCTGCTTCCCATTTGCCCCACCGCCTCTCTCTACTTTCCAGAAAAGGCAGGCAGGTGCTGCTCCCCAGCCCCCAACAGTCTCCCTCCCTGGGATCAGGACCCTCTGCCTGGTCATTCATAGGAGTCCCTCTGGGCTGCCCCCAGCCCTGCCCAGGGCTTTTCTGGCCTCAGCCTGAGAGAAGCAAACCGAACATTGATCCTTTATGCAACGGGCTGCACCTGGCTCCCACCTGAATCAGTCTACTCCCCTAACCCCGGCCACAAGCAATTCCAGGGCTTTTGACACCCCAGAGACTACTCCTCTCATCCTCAGCACCCTCTTCTCATGGAAACGTTTGAAAAGAGAGTTTTTTTTCCCCCTTCTTTTAGGCTGGGACACCAGAATATGGAGTCCCGCTTCTGTTTTAAAGCACTATCTCCTGACTCCTGGGGTAAACATTTTTCCAACTTTATAGAATGCTAGAGCAGGGAAAACACCTTCCTTCCATTCTCTGGCCTTCAAATGATCGCCGTCAGGTTGCTGAACTTGAGCTCTTGGGCTCATGCATCTCATAAATGCTCCCTGGGCACCTGCTTGCTGCGGCTGAGCCCTAGGGCCACTGTCAGTCCTGCTGATCATGTCTTTCCTAGCTGCCGGGCTCATTGGTACTCGATGTCGCCTGGCAGCTGAACTTGGTCATGGGTATAAAGACAAAAGAGAGCCTCCATTGCAGCCCCAAGGGCTCAGGATGGTGGGAGAGAGATGGGTAAATGTCTAATTGCCTTATGATAATTCTAGGATGGCCATGGAGGACATCTTGGGGCTACCCAGGCTGACAGAGCAAGAGGTGGTTCCCAAGAACTGCCCAAGTGAGTTCCCAGGTGTTAGTAAGATTCTGCTAGGGGAGGAGGAGAAGAAATGGTGTCTCAGAAAGGGGAACAAGCCAGCAAGGCCTGGAGGCTTGGAGCAAGTGGCTCTCTGAGCTGGAGGAGTTTGGAGGTGTGACTTCCAGGAGGGCAGCAGGGTCTGTTGCATAAAGGGTCACTGTTTGGCTTGCTTCTCTCGGGCTGAGGCCAGAAAGCCCTGGGCAGGGTCATGGAAGGCCTCAGATGCCGGCTGGGAGCTTGGATTTTATCCTAAAGGCACTAGGGAGCCAGGAGAGGGCTGGGAAGGATTGCAGAACCCAGGGAGAGAGAAGAGGAAGACCTATGACAGGGCAGTGAGGACACTGGGGAGGGTCCGGCTTCTGGGACAGGGTCCCCATCTTCTTCCGCTGCTCTGAGACATAGACCAGGCCTTGAGGCTTAGTGTTTGCTAGACTTTGCGGTTAAAGGAAAAAACAAAACTGAAGGCCCAAGTCTGAAGATGGCTGTTCCTTGACGGTACCCCAGCACCCCCTTCCTTAGGCTGCACTCCATTCTGTCAGGCCTTTCCCCCAGCCTTGCTCCCTCTGCGTTTTTCCACCCTGGCCTAGGCTGGGGAGCAAGCTCTAGGCTGGGGACCCAGCCCTAGCAGAGGCCCCTCCCTCACAGCACAGCCTGAGCCCCGGGGCCACCCCATGCACCTCCAGACTCTTGGAGCCAGAGGCCTGTGAGGCAGCCCGGGCCTGTTCCCTCTCTTCCTGCCGAACACTCCCCACATTGTTCGACTTTGTGTCCTTTTTCCTGTGCCTCGGCATTTCCAACTTTATTGCCCTGGTTCCCTCCAAAGGTCATTGGCCAAACAGACTGGCGCCATCGGTTGGAAAAACAGCGTGCCTCGGATGCCTGGTATTGGTCCTCCTGAGAAGAAGGGACAGCAGCAGAGAGAGATCTTCCCACTGCTCACTCCCTCCAGCCTCCTGGACCTGCTGGGGCCCACATCCTGGCCCATGGGTACTTCTGTGCCCCTGCCTTGGGCCCATGCTCACCAGAGCTTCCCCCAGGAGTCTTTCCCTGGAGCCTGCTGAGTGCCCCAGGTCCACCTGCTCACATCAGGTGCCACTTCACGAGCTCGAAGTAGAGCCTGGTATCTCCCCAGTGCCACTGCCAAAGGGCTGGGCCAGAATGCAGGCCACTCAGGTGACATGGTCCTGCCTGCTCTTCTCCAGCAGGCCGGAGCACCGAGGCCAGGAATGGAGATTCCCCCTTCTCTCAGATCCCCGCAGGCCTGCTCCCCTCTTGCCTCATCTTATTTCCAAGGACTCCAGGCTCAGAGAGGTTGAGTCATATCTAAAGTCACAGAGCTAAGAGCAAGGGCTGGGACTGAGACTGAGGCTTTTGGTTTTACCCCCTGCACTCTTTCCTTTCTGATGGCTCAAGAGCTGGCTCGGTTCTGAAGTCTTTCCTTGAAGGGGCAGGGCGGCCCAGGGGAGAGGCTGGGAAGCAGGGCTCAGGCCTGGCTCTGCTGCCAACCCCTCATGTAGTTCTGCTCAGGCTCTTTCCAGGCTCTGCTGCCTCCTTCCAGCTCAGAACACCAAGATTTCTAGGTTGGGGCCATTTTTCCTCTGTTCCTATCAGAACACTTCCTCCGTCCCTGATGACACAGGCTATGGGGCTACAGAGACTTCTGACTCAGGTCTTCGTGTAGCCCCAGGACTCTGGAGTCCTGTCCCCGTACCCTACTCCACCCTATGCTGGTGATTTAGAACTTTAAGTTTGTTATACAGAGAGACAGCATGATGTCGTGAAAAACCAAGGACTTTGTCCTCCAACCAACCTGAGTTCTTATTTTGTTTTTTTTTCTCACTCAACTGTGAGATCTCGGTCAGGTTATGAAAGCTCTTTGAGCCTCAGTATCCTTATCTGTAAAATGGTTAGAATTATTATAAGGATTAAGTTACACAATGAAGAAAAGTACCTCGAACATGGAAGGTCTTCAATAAATGGCAGTGATTATTGTAATCTTCAGAGGCTCCTTCCTCCTGTCTCTTCAGGGTACTGGAGCCCGGGGATCAGCTCCCAGCCTGTCCTTCCCATCTGTTTGGGGGTCACTGGGCCTGCTCAGGAATCTGTGGACAGGAACACAGGTGGCCCCTGCTCCAGGGCTGCAGCTGTGCTCCTTGCACTTCTAACTGCTCCCTGCCAAGCCCCATGGGAGCAGAGGGGCCTGGGCAGCCTTCCTGTCTGCCAGCATAGCCCATCACTCTGTGGTCCCCAGGGCCACAGCCTACTGGTAGCCACCGCAACATAGAGAATGTGGTAGGCAGAATACTACCAAAAGTACCCCCAAGATAACAGACTCTAATCCCTAGAATCTGTAAATGTCACTGTAGTGGGTTGAATGGTGTCCACCCAAAAGATATGTCCAAGTTCTAACCCCTGGTACCTGGGAACAAGATCTTACCTGGAAACACAGTCTTTGCTGATATAATTAAGCTGAAGGTCTTGGGATGAGACTTTTCTGGATTTAGGGTAGGTCTACATGCCCGGAGCCTCCAGAAGCTAGAGGGGCAAAGCATTCTCCCCGAGAGCCTTCAGAGGGAGCATGGGCCTGCTGACACCTTGGTTTTGAACTTCAGGCCTCTGGAACTGTGAGAGAATAAATTTCTGTGTTTAAACCACCCTCTCCTCTTTAACCATGGGGTCCTCTGTCTCCACCACAACCCGTGGTACTTTGAGTCTCTTTGTTACTTGTTCTTCCCAGGGAGACCCCCCAAGCCCCTAACTGCTTTTAATCCTGAGGATCACATAATTCAGCAGGTTTTGAGTTGTCATTTTGTAGACTGAAAACCTGAGATTCACAGGTTCCCAAAAAAGGCCTGGCTCGGGCTGGGCCAACAGCTCTAAAGGAGTCGCAGCCTCCCGGGCCTTTGCTTCCAGAGGCTCCACAAATCCACAGCTCTCAGCTGATATCTCATTAGGGAGCTATGGGCTTCCCCTTCCTGTTCAGCTACTAGTTTAAGTTGTTTTCCTCCTTCTGGTCTGCAAGGAACAAAAACAAGTAATTTTCTCATAAAAATAACAATTAGCAAAGCCCGGAATCCAGACAGCCTCCGGTCAGGACCATTCATCGGTGCTGACCTCGAGGTAACTTCAGACTCCTTGTGAGACACAACACCGCCATCCCCACCAGGACAAGGAGGGCCAAGCGCTTTGCTGCCCTGCATGGTGGCCTGGTTGGTGACTGCAGCAGTGTTTTCAGGGACATAGAGAATGAACAGGAAGACCAATGTCAGAAACAAAAGCTTCTTGGACACTCAACATGGTTTTGAATGCCATAGAGAATGCAAAACTAGGTCCTTCCTGTGTGGGTTGCCCTCAAAAACCCAGGGAAGTGTCATGTTCACAGCAGGGAAAACAATTGCACTGATTAATTGTGCTTCTGTTGATGCTGCGGTTCTCCTGACTTCTGAGTGCATCACAGTGAGGCCATCTGCCAGATGGAAGCGCTGGAACAGACAGCTTCTTGGAGCAAACTGCAAGGCTCGTGAGACTCAAAACAAGCCTGTTAGATCCCATTTACTAAATGGCCATAATCAAAGAACAAGCTCTTAGTTATCTAGCAAGGCGCTCTGGAAATAGATGAGCATGCAAAATCACAATTTATGAGTTCAGCAATTTTTCTTTTTCTGCTGAAGATATTAGCCCATGAAAATCTTGTAGTGTTTGAGGAGATTCAGTCAATTGCTAACTTTCTGCAAGTGTCTTATCCATGGCTGCCTCCTTTTTCCCACCACTGCGAAGGGCCCTAGGCTTGGCAAGCAGGGTTGAGCTGGACTGGGAGAGGAAGACCTGGGGCATACCTCATTTCAGAGCCCTGGAGGGCCAGGGGATCACTGGGAAGGAATGAGTGCTGCATGGCCAGGAAAAATGAGTGACTGTATAGCAGAAAGCATGGTCAGCCTCGGTGGATGAGATGACAGTGACCTGGCCAGCCCCACTCAGTGGGCACCTGGCTTCCCCCAGCAGCACCCGGGCAGGCAGTGCTGGGCAAGCCTGGCCTCCTGGACACCTCACAGGGGTCTGCTTCCTTATCTGCTGTGTCCACATTGGGAGCCAATCCTGTCCCTGGATCAGGGCAGCAGATCCACTGAACTGAGCTAGGAGAGAAGTCGGGACCCTGGGTTCAAGTACCAGCATGGTTATCTACTAACCGTGGAACTGTGGGGAAATCAGGGGTCCTCTTGGAGCCTCAATCCCCTCCTCTGCATAACTGGGATGATAATGTTGGCCTTACTTGGTTTTTGCCAGGATTAAATGAGAACACAGGAGTGGTTGTTATTACTGGCGTAAAAAGAACCATTTCCTAGCTCATTAATGCAGACAACGTAAACGTCTGGATGCCTAAGGACAAAGCCCGGGACTTTTCTGCACTTGCTACTCACCCCCATATTGTTGTTGGGCATTTGTTTGGATTTCTCTGGAACTTTTGGAACAATGGGCTCTGGAGTTTTGTCCTGTGGTCATTCACACCCTCAAGGGAAGCATTTGCTGAGCTCTAGGCCTCGTTCCAAGGGTGAGGAGCCTGGTGGGACATTTACCTGAATCAGGGCCGCAGCCTGGACAGGCAGGGCTAGGGACAGGAAGGCCAGAGACACATAGTGTCAATCCCTGAGCCTGGAAGCCCTAGTCCAAAGCCTCCTGGGCTTATTTCAACCCATCAGCTGACTCTGACAATCAGAAAATACCAAAAAGGGCCCACCCCTTCCTCTCTAGCTCTGACACTCCAAGACCCTGTTTGGTCTCAACATGCAGCCCAGTTCCCTGGCTGCCCAGCCACACTCTGCCCACATATTTTAGACTCCCAAAGGGTAGTAAGTCCCTCTTGCAGCATCCCTGGAGGCCCCGCCACATGCCAGGTGAGGAGCCAGGCACTGGGGAGAAAGCCACAGTGTGCCTCCTGCCTCCTCCCCTCTCCAGGTTTGTGCCTCAAGGCCCGGCATTCCTTATCCACGGGCCTGGCCCATGTGCCTGGGCTCTTCCACACGGGGGCCTGGCAGCAACGCCTCTGTCTCCTTGGTTCCACCCCCCCCCCCCCCTTCAGGCTACCCCAGCAAGGGAGGACAGGAGCAGCTGGGAAATTAATTTACAATGTGAGTGACTGTTAGGCCCTGATACCCACACATGAGGAGTTGCTTTTTAAAAGGTAGCTATTTATAAAAATGAATGCTTGAGAAGTTCCTGACAGGCAATGGGGGAAGGGGACTGGGGAGGGGGACCTGAAAAACCTGTCCCACCCATTTCCATCTTTGTTTTGTTTTGTTTTGTTTTTTGAGACAGGGTCTTGTTCTCTCCCAGGCTGGAGTGCAGTGGCATGACCGCAGCTCACTGCAACCTCAATCTCCCGATCCTCCTGTTTTAGCCTCCCAAGTAGCTGGGACTACAGGTATATGTCACCATGACTGGCTAATTTTCTTTTAGTTTTTGTAGAGATAGGATCTCACCGTGTTGTCCAGGCTGGTCCTGAACTCCTAGGCTCAAGTGATCCTCCTACCTCGGCCTCCAAAGTGTTCTGGGATTATAGGTGTGAGCCATTGCACCCGGCTATGTGAGGTTTCTTTCTGCTCAATCTTTGCCTAAGTTGTTTCCTTCATATGGACTCTATGTGTTCCTCCTCTTTTCCTGTCCTCAGAGAACCAGCTGGAACCTCACCTCCTCTGAGAAGCCTGCCCAGTACAGCTCCTCCTGCCACTGAGGGCTTAGCTCAGGCGTCCCGTTTTCCATGCTTTGCAGTCTTATCTCCTCTCTGGCCTGAGACCTCCCTGAGGCTCTAGTCTAGAGCCTGAAAATATCAGAGGAGGGCTGGAATCTGCCACATTCTAGCTACACGACCTTCTCTCTAAAGTGGGAACAGGATCGCCTCCCTCATTGTACTGTAAAGTGCCTGGCATATGGCAGGTGCCAACAAATACTGCTACCCCCAGAAGTTCTGAGAGAGACGGAGGCCTTGAATGGTACCCTTAATGGGGCCCACAATCTAGGGACTTTTTATTCCACAACAGAAATGGAAGTTGACCTGTCACACTGAGTCTACACTATTTCTTGGGTCTTGCCTGCCTCCCGGAAGCTGAACTTATCACCAGAGGGACTATGCAGGCTGAAGTTTCTGTTTCTGTTTCGGTTACGTATAGAAGCAGTTGCTTTCTAAGAATTGAAGGACACCTAGTCATATCCTTTTGGTCAGTGGCAAACAAATGATGGGGAACAGAATTCCCACTTACAAATCTTTTCCCATTGGGATGTCTAGGATGGATGGTTCCTGGGAATGCCCTGGGAATTTACCTGGGAAGAGTATTTACAAGGAAATTTATGGGAGAATTTACAAGGGAATTGCCGTTTGAGTTGGGTTTTCAGAGTAAACAAGGGCTTGTCACTGGGCCTAGATGGAGATGTGGGGTGGCCCAGGGCAAGTGAAGGACTTGGGGTTCCAGGGAGATTAAGGACTGGGGGCATGACACACTGATATTCATGTACAATTGAGTTAATATTTCCGTATCGGGGAGGGCCTGGGAGCTGAGTGGGGAGAGGGTGGGAAAGGGGGACCCTCCTGATGGACCCAGGAGGTTCAGTCCCAGCCCAAACCCAGCCCTTCAGAAAGACCCAAGGCTAGTAGGCCTGGACTCCTTAAAAAGCTTCCCAACCATTGGCTGGGGAAGAGCATGATTCTTGGGGTTGTTTTACCCCAAGGGCCTTGTCCAGGGCTTCCTTTGAAACAAGTGCAGCGATCTCCCAGAGAGAAGTTCTAGACCATGCAATCTTCCTGTCTCCCTGCATTTCCTGTGACATGTTAGCGGCTTGGAGGTGTCCCCCCAGCTCCACCAGGGGCATAGGAAGAAAGAGCCTCCAGGCCCAAGGTGAGGGGCACCTCCCAGCACCGCCATCTGGGAGCGTAAGAGTGCCTGTCTGTGGCTGCAGCCTGGGAGGGAGAGAGGGTCCAGAGATGGAGGCAAGCAGAGGCCAGACCAACTCAGGCCGGGTGCATGAGCTGGAATTGCCAGGCCTCTGAACCTCAGGCTAGGTCGCATTCTTGGAGCAGCAGATTAAAGTATGAGGGGGTATTGTCTAAGCTACACTCCCCGGCACTGGGGCTGGATGGGGATTGGGCTTCCAGGGTTCTGTTATACTGATCAGATCAATGATTCATATGCTGATGTATCAGAACCACCTGCAAACACATTTCCAGGCCTGCCTCAGGGCACTCGTTCCTCAAGCCTGTCCAGTGTGACTTCAACCCCCTTCACAGCTGAGTAGGTTGTGGCCAGGGGCCATGGATCTGCAAAGACTGAGTAACGTGCCTGATGTCTCATCATGATCCAGCCGGCTGGGGACCTCTGGCATGGAACACTCCAAGCTGCATCATGTCCCCTCAGGCAACTTGCTGATCCCTGGCAAGGGGTGCAGGAAGCAGGCTCACGTGGCTGTGCCCTTGAATCAGGGCTCGGGAGAGTGGCACAGGGTGGGGGTGGGAACAGCCTCTCTTGACCAGTGCCTAGCGTCCTACCTGTGGCTCCTAAGTGGCTCCAGGGCTGCCCTCAGAGGCGGGATGGGATGCAGTCTTCATAGGAGGGGACTTGGTCTCCATGGTTTTCAGGGCAGAGCCCCACACCTATTACCTGGGCCCTGAGGCTCTACCCTAGCATGTCTCTCTGGGCTGTCCTCTGAAAAGTTGCTCACCATGGTAACCAACCAGAAGTAGAGCCCCAGCTGAGGGCAGTGATGACACCATCTTTGGCCCTTGGACAACCGGGGCAGTTCTTGCCCGGAGGCTCTCGCAGGCAGCCCCACACACCACCTATATCCCGAGGAAAGATGGGCATTCCCAAGGAACATGTTCAGGCCAGACCCTCTGGGAGGTGAATAAGAATAGATGCCCAGCCAAGAACCTCTTCAAAGCTCAAGAGGAATGAAGAGAAGAGAGAGGACCACCATTCACTGAGGGCTGGCCATGGGTGAGGCACTGGGCGTAGGCAATCTCCTACATGCTCATGACAGCCCTGGGAGCAGTACTGCCACCTGCACTGGACAGGGGAGGAAACTGAGGCTCAGAATGGGAAAGTAATTTGCTCAAGGCCAGAGTCCCTGGGTGTGTAGCTGTGACTCTGGAGCCATGCTCTGTATCAACCAGTGGGGTGTACATGAAACATCAACAGTAACAGCAATGTCCAGGTTCAAAACATTAAAAATAGCCTCAGTACTACAAGGCTTTCTGTTTCTGAAACCTCTGTTGAAGGCAGCCAAGTGGAAAGTCAGGCGGTGTCCCCTCCCAAGCCTCACAGGCTGAGCCAGGTTTGGTGGCCACTGAAGCCCTTGACTTCCTTCCGGTCTCAGGTCAGTCCTCCCTGGGGCACTCCTAATATGCTCATCTGGAGGCTTCTGTTAAGTCCAGGAAACTCTACAGGACACAGCTGAGGCTGGGCGGCCACCAGACACGTGCTGTGTCCAGAGAGAACAAAGCGGGGGTTTCCCTGGGTTCCATGAGCACAGGAGCCTTTTCCTCCAGGCTGGCTCCATCCGAGCTGGCTGAGGGTTGGCGGCAGCTGCCCAGCATCTATAGGGTGCCTCCGGGAACTGTCTCAAGGCCAGAGCATCCAGCCTCCTGGCTGTTAGTGGGCCGTGAGCCTACCGGGACTTCGAGAGACAGGGCTTCCCCAGATCCAGCCTGATGAGATCATCTGCCATTTCAGGCTGGGCTGAAAGATCCTCCGGCACAACAAAGCTGGGCCCAGGAGATATCCTGCATGACTCATCAGTTGGCCATGCATTGGAGACTTCCGGCCCTCAGAGAAACCAGACACAGAGAGCCATTGTTTGCCTTGGAAGCCCCCCGGCATACCAGGCTCAATGGGGTCATTTGTGTTTTCTCCCTAGTCCTCCATAACCCATACTCTTTCTGGGAGGTGGGGGCCCACTGAGCTGCCTGGGACCCTGTGACAAGAGGAAAACCAATACCAAGTCACCTACCCACAAGTCCCACGGGAATACCCTCCCTCCAGGACCAGGGCCTGGCTGGGAAGCAGAAAACCTGGGTTCTGAGCCATGGTTTAAGTCTCCAAGACTCACTGATTCTTCTGTCTTCATTTTTCAAATGGAGAAAATCATTCAAAAAAGACAAAGCTATTGTGAGGATGACCTAACGTAAGGCACATAAAGTTCCAGGCTCAGGCCTTGCACCTACAAAGGTTCTGCATGTGATCTTTCCTTCCCACTTCTCTCTTCCTCCTGCCTTTAAAATGTAAGTGAAAATGTTTTGTTTGTGGATCTGTTTCTATCCTAATCTACATACCCTTATCTAGGGCAGAAACTCCCTGAACTCATACCCACAGTCTACCCACAATTTGGCCCACACCCAGGGACACAGCCCCAAGGGGGCAAGGACTGGAGCAGAGGGCACACAGCCTAGTGGCTAAGCTGGGCAGAGATGCAAGAATAAGCAAGGCAAGGCTGAGGGCCTGCCCCTGGGTTTCAAACAAGCTGGAGGCCTTTAGAAACTTCCAAGGGGGAAGCTGAGTGTGGTGGCTCATGCCTGTAATCCTAGCACTTTGGGAGGCCGAGGCGGGTGGATTGCCTCAGCTCAGAAGTTCGAGACCAGCCTGGGCGACACAGTGAAACCTCGTCTCTACTAAAATACAAAAAATTAGCCAGGCGTATCAGTGTGCACCTGTAATCCCAGCTATTCAGGAGGTTGAGGCAGGAGAATTGCTTGAACCTGGGAGGTAGAGGTTGCAGTGAGCCAAGATTGTGCCACTGTACTCCAGCCTGGGTGACAGAGCGAGACTCTGTCTCCAAAAAAAGAAAAAAAAAGAAAAGAAACTTTGGTGGGGTGGGGAAGCAAAAATTAATTTGTTAAAAGGAATCAAAGGTTATAAAAAGAATTCACAGAAAGGGAAATCTAAATGACTAACAAGTTCATGAGGATGTTGTCAACCTCGCTAGTTATCAGAGAAATGCAAATTAAAACAGTGAGATTCTCCTTTACACTTATGAGATTGGCAAAAATTACCAAGTCAGATAATATCAAGTGCTGACAAAGAAAGTGGGGGTAAAAGAAACCCTCAGGAGCTGCTGGTGGAAGTAAACACCCAGGCAGACAAGTGATGAGCAACCTGGAAGTTATTCTTGAAAATCAATATTTAAGTTCAGTGTGCATGGACCATGTGAACAAGAGTCCCATGCCTGCTGAACTCACACCACGGATATTGGCCCAGACCCAAGGATACCACTGCTGAAGGCACAGCCCCAGGTTAGTGTCCCATGCAGATGCCAGCTTGTCAGGCATGCACTCCAGGCAACATCCTTCCCAAAGAGCAGGCTGTCTTCCGCAAAAGTTGGAAAACAGGCCCCAGTGCAGGCTCTCACACCCGGCCCAGCTCCAGTCCTCAGTCTCAGAGCATGCCCACTGTTCAGCTGCTGCCTCTGGCCTGATGGGGGCTTTGGATCAGTGTTCTGATCTTGGAGAAGTCAAGACATCCACTCCCTCTCCAAGCTCCAGCCTGACATTCCGAAGCCTTCCATTTATCTCACTGTCTGTATTAGTGTTCTATTTAGTGTTCTATTGTTACATTAAAAATTACCACAAACTTAGCAGCTTAAAACAACAAATATTTATTTCTTTTTCTTTTTCTTTTCTTTTTTGAGACAAAGTCTTGCTCTGTCACCCAGGCTGGAGTGCAGTGGTGTGATCTTGGTTCACTGCAATCTCTGCCTCCTGGGTTCAAGCAATTCTCCTCCCTCAGCCTCCCAAGTAGCTGGGATTACAGGCGTGCACCACCATGCCTGGCTAATTTTTGTATTTTTAGTTGAGACAGGGTTTCACCATGTTGCCCAGGCTGGTCTCAAACTCCAGACCTCAGGTGATCTGCCTGCCTCAACCTCCCAAAGTGCTGGGATTACAGGCATGAGCCACCGCACCCAGCCAACACACCTTTATTACCTCACAGTTTCTGTGGTTGAGTCGTCTGGGCACAGCCTACCTGGATCCTCTGCTCAGGGTCTCACAAGACTGTAATGAAGGTGTCAACTGGGCTGTGATCTCATCTGGAGGTTCAAGTGGGGAAGAATCTGTTTCCACCTATGCACTACCTTGCAGCTGTATGCTGGGGGCCCTAGCTTTTCTGCTGCTAGTTGTAGGCCAATTTCAGGTTCTAGAGGCTGCCTGTGGCCTTTACCAGGTGGGCTTTCATGAGTTAGCTGCTTACTCCATCAAGCCTGCAAGGAGAGGTACTCGACTCAGGAAGAGCCCAGTCCCTGTTACAAGGGTTTTCACCTGATTGAGCCAGGCCTGCACAAAATAGTCTGTTTTTATTAACTGAAAGTCAACTGATTTGGGGCCTCAATTACATTTGCAAAATCCCTTCACCTTTGCCAGATTCTGTTGGTTAGAAATAAGTCACCGGTGCCCCCACACCAAGGAGAGGATTTATGCAGGGTGTGACCACCACACTGTGGGCTGCCTTCCTGGAGGCGAAGGCTCCCATTCCACTGAAAAGAAAGTGAAGCCCCAGGCAGTGTAGAATAGCCTTGAGAGACACAGCCTCCTGTGCTCAGAGCCTCTGGAAGCTCAGCACAGCCTTCCAGGGCTCACAGCCTCTAGAAGGAGAGCTGACATGGATGGAGCTGGGGACTGGTCTACCGGAGGTGTGCAGGGAGTGGCTGAGAGAGATTGGTAGGGGAGAGCTGTCCTAGGGGGAGGGTGGGCCTCTCAGGCAGCACAGATAAGTGAGGGAGGGGTGGGGGTAGCAGGCTCTAAGAGTGCCCTGCAGATGTCTGGTGTGGGGAGGAAGTCATTGAATTCCTCCATTTCCAGCTGAGAGGTCCCCAGAGACAGGCAGTGCTCCCCCTCATGTCAGCCCATTACATCATGGTCCCTTTCTCTGCACCCCCATCCTTGGCATCAGGGGACCCCACCCACCCTCTTTCCACTCGGGTTTCACAGGCATCTAGGAGATCAGCTAAGGGGCAGCTGGGATGGCACTGTATGTCCCAACTGAGGGACAGTGGGAGGATTGTCATGGGGCAGACGTGACCTCAGCTCGCTGGGCTCAGCTCATCCTGCTCCAGGGAAGGGCAGTGTCACACAGGAACAAACGCCCACTGTGCTGGGTCTCCTCTTCCCTGAGGGGTTCAGACACAGGCAGGGACCCTTTTGGCAGGGTCAGAGCCTCCAGTGCCTACAAGCCTGCCTGCTCCAGCCAGGCCAGGAGGAGTCCCAACCCTCTGCCACTTACCAGGCCCTGGGCCTGCCTGCACACCCTCCTCACACCCTGGGCCTACCTGCTACTCAGCCTAACCTGAGAGCCCAAGCCCACCCTCCACCCAGAACCAAGACCCTCAGCCACCCCCAGCCTCTGCTCAGGTCCTGAGCAAGGAGGGGCGATGGAGCAGGCATGTGCCATGCACTGTGGTCCCTCACTTCTGAACAACCCCTCTGAGCTGTCCTGAGCTGAGTTTCTCAGGCCCCCAGCCTGGGCACAGGTTGTCCCATTGCACTTCACCTTCCGATGCCATCCACAGAAACCAGCTTTGGCTAACTCACATAGAAAAGGATTGTAATGAAAGGATATGGGGCAGCTTACTGGGTTATCAGGAAGGCTGGAGAGCCAGGCAGGAACCAGGGAGGGGCGCAGTTGGTTCTCACTATGGGGGCAGCTTACTGGGTTATCAGGAAGGCTGGAGAGCCAGGCAGGAACCAGGGAGGGGCGCAGTTGGTTCTCACTATGGGGGCAGCACACCTGGACCTGTCACCCCTGGAGGGACGCTGCTGGATTCTTGAGTTCTTGTAGCCCCACCAATTCTCAGCACCTCTCCCTGAAGCCTGGCACCGCTCCTTCCAGCTTCAAAGTCCAGAGAGAAGGGGCCAGCGGGTCAAGCCCATGTCTTATCACTGTGGCAAAGGAGTGGGGAGGAGGCACCAGCCCACATCATCTCTCATGGTGGGAGGACCTGGGCTCTCCTCCGTCCCTGTGAGTCCCCCAGTAGAGGAAGGGTATTCAGATGTTGGGCCTCAGTGTGGCCCCCAAGCCCTCAGAGGAGCCTCTCATCATGACACCTGGGGCTCGGTCCTGCCAGTGCTCAGTGGACCGTGCTGTCAGGGTCATGGTCTCCCTGACTGGTCTGAGATCACCTGGAAGGAAGGTCACTCCTGGGACCTGGCCAGCATAGCACCTGCACAATGTCAAATATATGGAGATGGCATTTCCTATCTGTGTCCCACGGCTCCGGGTTTCTGAATGTCACCATATTTGGTGCCAGGCTCACAGACTCGGGCATAATTAGTGTTTTGACCCTCCAGCAACAGGGCCACCCTCAGAACCATTAGATGTGGGATTTCTTCTGCGATTGTAAGAGATTGCTTATTAAATTGTTCTGTGGCACTGAGCGAGGACACAGGGCTGTGTCCCCAGAGACTCCCTGTAGGCTGGGCCAGGTGGGGTATAGATAACATGGAGTTGCACCCTTCCTGGTGCTGCTTCTAGAAAGCAGCCAGTTTCCCAGAGGCTGTGCTGGGGAGGCCAGTAGGCCATGGCCCAGCCATGCTGGCAGAAGAGAGATGTTCTAATCACCCTATATCTAGAGGCATCTCTTCCTCCCACTGCTCAGGGAATGGGCTGGGGAAGGACTGGGGTGTGCCGGTCCCTGCCACAGTTCTGCTCCAGCCTCCTGCCCTTGCTGACTCAGCCTGCCTGCTCCAGCTCTCTGAGCACTGAACCTGCACATGGAATGGGGGCCATTGTGCACCACTTCTGCCCCTGCACCACCATCCCCCGCCAACTGCATAAGGCTCTTCGGGTCAGCAGGGGAGGAGCAGAACCAAGAGGTGGCAATGGCAAGAGGTGGTTTCTGCTGGAGCCAGTCCAGACCCCTGACTCTCCTTGAAAGATGCAGAAGCTGATCCAGGGCTTCTTGGTTTG
The DNA here is from genome assembly GCF_000001405.40 of Homo sapiens. Classification (NCBI taxonomy): domain Eukaryota; kingdom Metazoa; phylum Chordata; class Mammalia; order Primates; family Hominidae; genus Homo; species Homo sapiens. Next base: position 20,584,643 of record NC_000002.12, read on the forward strand.
GTCCGCTAACTGCTCACCTTAGGAATTTGCCCCCCAAGTGACATGGATCCGATTGCACATTCCTGAAGCCTGAGTCATTCCTGGGTCCTGCTCAGGCTCAGGAATGTGTTTATGCTCATGGGGCTGGAGGGACATGCACACCACATGTCTGTTCACTTTGGGTTTGGAAGGGATGAGGGCTCTTCTCAAGGATAAGAGGGATGAGGTGGTGACCTCTGGAGTCGCTAAGATGCTGCAGTGTGTGGGCCACAGAGGAGCAAATGAAGGGAGGGCCAGACTCAGGCTGGAACCAAAGCCTTTGGCTTGTGTAGAGTTGGTTTTAACTTGCTCCCAAGGGACAGAAAATGGAGAGGGACAATCTAAGCAGGGCCTCCCCTGCAGTGACCTTGGGAAAGGTACTTGCTCCCTCATCACCTCCTCCCACCAAGGACAACCTCCAAAAGGGCACAGCGTGGCGAGGCTGTGGCTGCCACCTCAGAGCCGTGGCTGAGGAGCTCAGCCCCTCCTCCCACTCTGTCCAGAGCTCTCTGTTGACAAGTCGATGGTTCTCCTCTAGGTCCAATGTGGGCCTCTGCAGCTGTGGAGAGAGCTCACAAGCACGGCTCACATCACTGAGGGTTTATTCAGAGCTCAGCGCTAGGCTGAGCCCTTTACATAGTGTGGCCATATGCCCCCATTTGCCTGGGACAATCCTGGGTTACTAATACAATGATCAACAGTGCCTCCTTTTACTCTCGAGTGTCCCGGTCTGGAAGATAACTATATATTTGCCTTAACTCTACAAGCATAACTGAATCCCTACAATGCACTACAAGAAGAGCACTGCTAATAGTGTCATTTTCTGATGAAGAAACAGGCTCAGAGAAGATAAGTAACTTGCCCAAGGTCACACGATTAGCAAGTGGCAGACCCAGAAACATAGGAATTCAGCTCTTGACTTCAAAGCCTCTTTGCTTTGCCACAACATCAGATTTCCTGTTCTAAAATCCATTGCTTCATGCTTTGAAGGACCGAGAAGCTGCTATCTCCAAATACTAGAAAAATAACCATTAACGTCCTGCAGTGATCCCAGCTCTTCTTCCAGCCCCACGCTTGGCCATTTTGCCTTGTTCGTTTCCCAAGTGACAGCGTGCACAATACCGTTCGCTTGCAACAGCAGCCCCGTCATGGGATGAATACATACCATCATGCCTACTGTGTGTCAGGCACGGCACCTACTGTGTGCCAGGCACAGCACATGTTGTCTGATCCTGACACAACCCTGCATGGTGGGTGTTGCTCCTCCTTTCATGGAAAGGAGACCCCTAGAAGTCACACAGCTGGGAGGAGGCAGGGCTGGGGCTAGAACTCGCAGATTCCGGCTTTGAGCCTAGCAAACACTCTGCAGTGCCATACACCGTGGCTGCACTGCCGAGGCCCAGCTACAGGCTCCGAGGTTCCAGTGTCCTCATGGCGAGATGTAAGTGGCTAAACCCATGTGTGTGGACTCACAGGCCCTCAAGGCACCTCCTCCTCCCAGGAGCCGGGACCGTCCTGCCCTTTGAGGGGGTCTGATGCCCGTTCTCAAAACGTCTTCACAATGCACACACATCACATTAAAGAGGCTTTTGGACAATGTTTTTATTTTTTTGGCGGGAAAGATCAGACATCTTTCACAACAGAGCACAGCCACCTTGAAGCTGGGGAAGGGGCTGTTTCTGAAGCTCAGGGCTTCCCCGTCCAGTTTCTCCACCCAGAGATCATCTCAGTGTGACAGCCTCTTCCCACCCCAATACACCGTCCTCTGGGGAGGAAGAAATAAAAGCAAGCGCATTCCAGATGTTCCCGGGAAAATGGTATTTGGGAAAAGGATGTTTGTTTAGAATTTACCAAAAATAGAGAGCCCCAAAGGAGGAAAAGGCAAGCTCTTGACCCATTTAAAAAGCCATTTCCCAGGAAGGACTTTCTAACAAACAATGTCACAAAAAGAAAAGCTAATAGCTTTGACAATATAATAATATAAAGCTTTGGTACATTCAAAGCCTCCAAAAGCAAAAATTAAGCAACACATATATGCAACAGATATCAAAATGACAACATACAGAGAGCTCATCAAATGATTTTTAAATAAATCCATCAAAACCTTGTTAGGAAAACAGGCAAAGAAAACAGATAATCAACCAAGAAAGTTTTAAACGGCTTAATAAGTATGAACATTTGCGTTTCGTTAATAATCGTATCAATTATAATTTTGAAATACCATTATTTCTCTTTCAGATCATGAGACTGGCTTTATTGGTGTTACCATAAGCTGGTGTAGACCGTAACACCAGCCCTCTCAAACCTGGGCTGAGGGTGGCATATCAGTCAGGGGCAACTCTTTTGGAAACATTTTGGCAACACATATCAAGGATATTTAACTACAAAATGTAAATGTCTTGAAATTTTCTCTGAGGAAATATTGAGAAATTCAGACCAAAAAACTGTGTACAAAGATGATTGATAAAGGGGGTATTGAATAGTAAAACATGGAAGCCAAGATGTTCTACAATAGGTGAATAAATACATTATGATATGTCTGTACGATCATAGGACACAGTCATTTAAAGTGGTCTTTTTGAAGAATGTTTATGCAAAGGAAAAGAAACGAAAGTGAAAAAAGGAGGCTGCAAAGCGTACGAGCCCACTCTTAGGAAGCATGTATAGAGGAATGAATGACATAGCTACATAGAAACATGATGGCCATCAACCACGCCCATCTGTGGCAGGGAGAGCAAGACCCTGACCCCATCCCCTGCTCTCCTGAGGATGGTAGGGATGCCACAAGCCCATTTAGTGTTTCAGAGGGTAGAGGTGAGGCTGGGAACCTGGGAAGAGCCTGGCGAAAGGTTGACGGGGAGAGGGCAAGAGAGCAGGATGTTTGTGTTCACCAATGACAGTGGCCATGGTCCCATGGTAGGTCAGTGGCCCAGAAAGTATCAGAGACCATGGATTAAGAATCAGACCACTGTGCACTCGGGAGGCCGAGGCAGGAGAAGGGCGTGAACCTGGGAGGCAGAGCTTGCAGTGAGCTGAGATCGCACTACTGCACTCCAGCCTGGGCGACAGAGCGAGACTCTGTCTCAAAAAAATAAAAAATAAAAAAATAAATAAGTAAAAAGAATCAGACCACTGTGACAGGCACAGTCCAAGTGGCCAGGAGCTGTGGGGAGCCTGACCACTGAGCCCAGTGCCTTGGCAGAGGGGATGTCATGCATGGGCAGCTCTGTTCTGGGAAAGAAATCTTCTCCCTGTCTCAACGTCCGGGCCTCTTCCACCAACCATCTGGCTGTTCCACAATCTCCTCCACCCAGGACATGGACACTTATCCCCACCCCAGGACATGGGACACCTTGGGGTGGGGATAGGAGGCACTCTCATCCAGTCCTCGGAGACCAGCCTGTGAATACTAGGGCACCCCAAGCTGGTCACCAAGGGAAGTGGACTTGTCTCTCCAAGATGTTAAAAAAAAAAAAAAGACCAAAATATAGTTTACAACAGGTGACAGGATTAAAAGTGATGTTAATTGTCTATGCTTTTCTATATTTTCATAATTGTCTATATCAAGCATGTATTACTTCTATAATTGGAACAAACAATAAAGGCTACTTTTGAAATAATATACATGCTTTTATCTCATACCAAGAAACAGTGTCTTCTGAATTATTCCAAGCCGATTGTTTGCTTGCTCTGTTGCTTAGGCTGGATTGCAGTGGCACCATCTCAGCTCACTGCAACCTTCGCCTCCTGGGTTCAAGCGATTCTCCCGCCTCAGCCTCCCGAGTAGCTGGATTACGGGCACCAGCCACCACGCCTGGCTAATTTTTTTTTGCATTTTTAGTAGAGACGGGGTTTCACCATGTTGGCCAGGCTGGTCTCGAATTCCCGACCTGAAGTGATCCGACTGCCTCGGCCTCCCAAAGCCGATTTTTCTGGGGTTACACAGGTGAACCACCACGCCCAGCCTTCCAAGCCGATTTTTCTGCTGGCGGCTCACAAGGCCCCAGGGTTTCAGCTCCCTCCTGGGAGCACACATCAGCCCATGTGGGAGCTTGCAGCCCCTCTGCCCTCCTCTCTGGCCTGTCAGTACCATCTCAAAAAGCAAGCTCCCTAAAAGCCATGTGAGGCGAAGGCACAGGACATCTCTACTCAGAAGGCTTGCCTGAGGTCCCTCTAACCTCACAGAGGCCTGTCCCCAAGGTCCCAGGCTGAGGCAGGCTCAGCCTTCTGAGAGCCTGATTTCCCCGGGGGAGGGCTGCCAGGTGGAGGAAGCCCAGGGCGTTCGTGCTTGTCTCATGATCTCCAGTGGGGACCAGATGCTGACCACTGAGTCGGCAGGGCTGGGCCCAAAGTCACCACTAACCCAGCACTGATCTCTCCATTTCTTCCATCTGGGCATCAAACTGTCTCTCCTTTCTGCTCCCTATTCAGCCTTAGCCTTGCCCTGGGGGCCACAGAATGGACCACTAGCCCTGCTTTGCATGGATGGGTGCATAGATTGGTCAGCAATGAGTGCATCCCCAGTCTGAGCCTTCACTTCTCAGGATAGCCCATCCCAGGTTCAGCCACTCCTTGTGGTCACTGCCAGGGCCTTCACCGTCCAACACATCCTCATCTGAGCACCCTGCAGCGTGCCAATGTCTCTCTGAAACTGTGCTGTTGGGGGGCTCTGACATGGGCGAGACCTCCAACCTCCCTCACTCTTGACACTAAACCCCTGTGGAACATGACCTAAAGGCCGAGCTTTCCTGGGGCTCTTCACATGTTCCCTGTCACTGAGCTCTGCTCCCCTGCATGCTAGGTGGGCACTGCTAGAGGCTGCCGATGAAGAGATCAGACCTGGCATTGGTTGACTCTGAAAAATCGACTGAGGGACAACACCCCCATAAGCGGCAGCTGGTCAGTGAGGCTGGACAGCTTCCAAGGGCCAGGAAGTTAGCTTGTTAGCTCTAAGGTGTTTTGCAGATCTGAAAACACCAAGTTCTAGGGTGATAAGCACCCCCAACCCTGAGATTCAGAGGATAGAGAATTCTAAGTGGCTCAAATCCTAAGGCAGTGAGGCATGGACCAGACCACACCCTTCCTGAACAGGGCTGCTTCCAGAACTGGAGGACTTGCAGCTATAGGACCCAGACTCCTCACAGCTGGTGGAGGGAGACTCCTCACAGCTGGGGGCGGGATTGTGGGGGAATTGGGGTGGGGGCAGTTGAGGGTTTCCTGCCTCACATGAAGAGAGAGATGACTGAGACTCCTGGGGGTCCTGGAGCCTCCAGTAGTTCCCCCTGGACCAATGGGTCCCAGCAGCTCTCAGTTCATTGCTGTGTCCAGGAGTCTGGTGAAGAGTTAATGCTCAATTAATGTCTGGAGAGTGAATGAATAAAGGAAGGAGGCTAGCACATCAGAGACCACCCGGTCTCAGCAGCTCTCAGGCTGCCCGTGCTGGAGTCACCCCGCCCTCCAGGCAAGCAGATGGGGCTGCTGAGGTGGAAGCTGGGGGCATTTGGCCCTGGTTTTCCTGTCTGAGTGGTTTGCACCCCCGGGCTCTGTGTGTGTTTTTTGGTGCAGCCACGGCTCCAGACTTGAGCCGAATTCTCATTCCCCATATCTTCCTCACTTCTGAGTCAGCTGTGAGCTCCACCTCTACCCAGCCTTCCAGGGTCTCAGGAGAGACCAGTGGTGTCTGTGGGGCATCCTCTGTTTGTTCTTTACTGAGGCTGGAGTCACCTTCTATCACAGACTATCACAGCCTCTCAGGGCTGTCCTTCTCTGTAGAAGGATGATGGGACCCGATGCCTCTGGGCCCTGCCTCACCCCCTCATCCCGGAGCAGCCCCACAGCCTCGCTCCCCTTGGCGATCTCTGGTTCCAGCTGTTGCTCTGTCAACCTCATTAGGTCACGTCCCCGTACTCCACCTCTTCCTCATGGCATGGCCCGGCCCATCTGACAGGTCCTCTCATAGGCAGAGCTGGACGTGTGGGCTGGGCCAGGCTGGGCAACTGGGCCTCTATGAATTTCCACAGATCCAGAGTCAACCCAGTGTGGATCCAGTGAGAACTTATCAAACACCTGGGCACCTGAGCTAGGCTAGACATCCAAGGACGCTGACTTTGGCAATCCTTGTTGGGACCCTGGAAAGGGCAATTTATTGTCTCCACTTGGCATTAGAGGAAACTGATGCTCAAAGAGATGGACCTCCTGGACCAAGGACAAAGAGCACAATCTGGACTCTACACAGACTTGTTTAGGTGCAAAGATTCCTATTCAATAAAGGGAAGGGAATCCAGGAAACTGCATCTCCCTACCTCCCTGCCCAATATTTGTCCATCAGGCTGCCCAGGTCCCCATGCTGTGGCAGGAGCGCCGATGATGAGTGCTGCAGAGACCATGGGAGGAATGCCAGCCTCAGGCCAGGATAGCAGGGCAGGCTGGTTACGTTGGGAGGCCTGGAGCCAGCCAGCCAGGCCCTGATAGCTTACAGCTGCTCCAAATGCAGGAGGCGGAATCAGAGCCTGCCCCAGCCACTGGAGAGGGACGCCTCCATCTGTGCTTGTGTTCTTGGGTGCTGCCAGCCCCTTCCTCCACGGGAGCTGCCAAGGAAAGAGCCCTTTTGTCATCTTCCCAGGCAAGAACAGCCATCCCGTGGCACTCACTCCCTGCACACTCCAAGGCCTCGCTTCTGCTTCATGGAAACAGGATTGAGTCTTGCTTGAAGCTGTGCACCACCAGACCACAAAAAGCCTCAAACATAGGTGTGGCCACCAGCCCCAGAGAGCCACAAGCACTCGGATTCTGGGAGCCCCAAGACTTGGAAGTTTCCCGTGGCACCAAGGCCAGGTGTTTATTGTCAAAGTTCTGGCCAGCCATGCACATTGCTGACAGTTTCTGTCCCTTTGGAGTTCTGGTCGACCATTGTGTTTGTTTGTTTTTTTGAGGAAGGGTCTTGCTCTGCCACCCAGGCTGGAGTACAGTGGCGCGATCTTGGCTCATTGCAACCTCTGCCTCCTGTGTTCAAGTGATTCTCATGCCTCAGCCTCCAAAAAATGCAGACATGCGCCACCATGCCCAGCTAATTTTTGTATTTTTAGTAGAGACGTGGTTTCATCATGTTGGCCAGGCTGGACTTGAATTCCTGGCCTCAAGCAATCTGCCCACCTCTGCCTCCCAAAGTGCTGGGATTACAGGCCCGAGCCACCGCACCTGGCCCTGTGTGATCTTTCTGAGAGTTTCTGAGCAGCGAACACCCCAGGTGGTTGCATGGGGGAGGCTGTAAAATCTGACAGCAGCTAGTGGGTCCTAGGGGGACGGTTCAACATCACGTCCCATGGATGGTCCAAGGACAGAACAGCCCCAGCATCCAGGCCAGAAAGCTGGCCCTGGAGGAAGTTGGTTCCTATCCTGTGCTTCTAGGCTGGGGTGAAGGTTTCCAGGAGGACACCTCCCTTGGTCACACTATTCTCCTGAGCCCCTCTCTCACATACGTGCCCTGCTGCTGCAACCCCCAGAGGGCTGCAAAAATTAGCTGGGTATGGTGATGCATGTCTGTAATCCCAGCTTTTTGGGAGGCTGAGGCACTAGAATTGCTTGAACGCGGGAGGCAGAGGTTGCATCACAAAATCCGCCACAACCCCTGGATTTCCTCAAGGGATTCCCTGTCTGGCCATCCACCTCCCCCGCCCCGCCCCGCCCATTCCTACTTCCCCTTTCGGGCCTGTCCCTCTCTTCTGACCTCCCCCATCCATCACAGTTCTAGCCTTCACTCACCTGCATCACCGTAGTGACTCCCCGACAGCTCTGTCCCTGCCCGGCTCAGACTCTCCTATGCAGCTAGGAGTAAGCCCAGGAGAGCATGTCCCTCCTCCGCTCAAGAGCTTCCAAGGGCTTCCCATCAGGATCAGTTTCCCAGGGCAGTCATAGCAAATGACCACAAACTGGATGGCTTGAAAAGTCTCCTCTCACAGCCCTGGAGGCCAGAAGTCTGAAGTTGAGGTGTCAGCAGGACCCTGCGCCCTCAGAGGGTCCTTCTTTGCCTCTTCCAGTTCCTGGCGTTCCCCCGCTGGTGGCAGCACCACGCCCATCCCTGCCTCAGCCTTCACGTGGCCTTCTCTTCTCCACTGTGTGTCTCTTACAGAAACACCTGTGATTGGATTTAAGGCCCACCTGGATAACACAGGATGATCTCATCTTGAGATCCTTAATTTAATTTCATCCACAGATTCCTTTTCCAAATAAAGTCGCATTCACACGTTCCAGGGGTTAGGATGCGAACATGGCTTTTTTGGGGGCAAGAATTCAACCCACGATATCACCTCCTTAAGGAAAATCCCAAGTCATTACTCTGTGCTTCAAGGCCCTTCAGGATCTGGCCTTATCCATGACCTCCAACCTCCCGCTGTCTACCCCACCACCCCTGACCTCCAGCCCTGTCCCCCCACTGTCCCCCCAGCACACCATGTTCCTGCTTCAGGGCCTTGGCAGATGCTGGCCTTTCCCCCAGGGTCCACACGCTTCCTCCATCAGCATCGTCAGGTTTAGTCAATTGTTTGGTATGGCCAGGCCCTCCCTGGCCACATTGTCTAAACTTGCAACCTTCCCGGAACACTCCCTCTTCCTCACCTGCCTTCTCTCTTCCTTACCACTCATCACCATCACACGTGCCGGCCTTCTCCTCATTTATGTTGTTCATTGTCTCCCCTCCCCTAGGCCACAGGCTTGTTTTGTCAGTTTTGTTCACTGCTGTGTCCCAGCGGCTAGAACAACGCTTGACACTAGTTGACCTTGGCTGAATGAATGAGTGAATGAATGAGCAAGAGTTTGCTCAGGCTGAACTCTGAGCTGCCGGAAGCCTTTGTAGACACCCCCAGAACATGCTGGCCCCACCTCTGAGCTCCTGGTGTACCTCGGTTCTCATGAGGCCCCCGCACTTCAGCCTCTGGTGATCCTCTTTTTCGAGCCAGACATGTTGGCTCAGCCAACACTCCCTGAGCCCACATCATGAGTCACCAGAGGCCCTTGACCCTTCCTCCCACAACCTTCCCCCACTGCGCCCGCTCTCACCCTGGTCACAGTTAGCCGAGTGTGTGCAGGGAACTGTGTATGAAGGTCAGGCCTGCCCTGCTGCCCCTGCTGGTCCCTGGAGCCGCCACGGGGATGGAAGAGTGGGTCCTTTTGATGCACTCAAGCCTGGGATATGGTCCTCCAGGGCCGGCATTGAAGGAATGTACAAGGGCTGCCCCAGGGCCTGCAACACTAACTGTGAAGAGTCCCCTAAAACTTCCCTGATGAAAACCACCACAGCCTCCATTTCAGAAGAGGGACGTGGGCTTCTTGCCATGTCTCTGCTGCTGATGGGCTCTGTGACTGGCACAATTTCCTTCCTGTTGCTGGTCCCCAGTTTTGTCATCTTTAAATCTGGGCATCGACCCATCGGGGATGGCTACAATAGCTTGCATCTTACACATTCCAACTCAGATGGCTCTGGCTGTGCCACTGGGTTGAGAAGGATTCTGAGGTTCAATCCAGGCTTAACAGGAAGAAGTGCAGTGATCCATTAGTGACATCTGCCATGGGTGTGGGGAGAGTGGGGGCCCAGGTGTGCTAAGGCTGGGTTAGATGCTTTGTGAGTGGGCTTTGGGCAACACGTCCACGTGAGTCTATGGATGCCTGATGATAGAGAAAAGATCCTGGAGGAGGTGAATGGGTCTGAAATGAGTGGCTGATGGCATCACAAATCCTTTTTGAGCTTACTTTGGTGCATTGAGGCAGCTGGCATGGCCTGCCTGCTGGGAAGGCATCAATGACCCAATGGAGAGATGGCTCCTTCCCTATGCTGGGGTTGAAGTTGCAGGGCAGTTAGGCTAGGGCCCTGCTCTGTGTTTTGTCTCTCAGGTGGCCATAGTGCTTGGTAGAAGAGGCTGTCCTCTGGCTCAGGATTTGCAGCAACAAGGCCAGCCTCTAGCTGGGCCTAGCCAAGTGCCCTCTGAGACTCGCTGGAAGTGAGGTCCCCTATCTCAATCCATTCAGGCTGCTACAACAAAATACCGTGGATGGGGTGGCTTAGAAATGGCAGACATGTATTTCTCACAGTTCTGGAGGCTGAAAGTTCCAGATCAAGGTGTCAGCAGCTTCGGTGTCTGGGAGGGCTGGCTCTCTGATTCCTGGAGGGGGCTGTCTTGCTGCATCTTCATGGATGGAAGGGGCAAGGGGGTTTTCCTCAGGTCTCTTTTATAAGGGCATTAATCCCAAACAGGAGGGCTCTGTCCTATGCCCTAATCTCTTCCAAAGGCCCCACCTCCCATACCCTCACCTTGCTGGAGAGAATTTCAACATACACGTTGTCGGGAGTAAAAAAACACTCAGATCATAGCATCTCGGGATAGACAGAGCCCGGCATGCCACTTCCCTGAATGAGGGAGACATTCTTGTAGCCTGCACAGCTGGAGCAGGGAGTGAGAGCCTCGGCAGCCTTGGGAGAAGGTGCCCTAATGTGACATGGCCTCAGTTTCCCAGCTGTGGGCAGAGATCACAGCAGCTGTCTCCTTTTCAGTCTGGACAGATGGCTGTGACCCACAGAAACGCCATGGCCCGGGAACAGAGCTGTGTCTACCCTGGGACACAGCTGTAACTACCCTGGGACAGAGCTGTGTCTACCCACGGGAAGGGGGATCCTTTTCTAATTTGTACAAAGGTGCCCTGGGGGTCCAGGTCATGCATAGAAAATTCCTCACCAGGCACTCACCAGGAGCAGAACCCTATCATCCTCCTCCTCCTCACAGTGACTCCTGCTCTAACAGAGGCACAGAGGCGCAGAAAGAGGGAGTTCCCCTGAGGCAGCAGGAGGGCTTCCTGGAGGAGGGAGGGTTTCGGCTGGGCCTTGCTGATCCTGTAGCAACCAGTGATTCTGGCCACAGCCCGTGCCTGCCTGCCTGACTCTCTGCGAAGGGACTGCAGCCTGCTCTGTGCTGCGGCCCTTCCTCGACATGGCTGGTTTCTTCCCTAGGTCTATCTTTGGTTCCTGCTGACTCTTCCGTGACATAAATGCAAATGAGACCACAGACAACTAGCCTCAAAGCCAAGGAAGCCGCTGGCTGGAGTTGTCTCCACAGTCCCCTGCTGGGCAGGGAAGTGGGCAGAGGTGATGGTCACGTCCATCCATCACGGCCCATCAGGGGAGCAGGCCTCTTGGGGCCCCTGACACCTCCAAGTGGCCAAAAAAAAGGTCATACCAGGAGACAGAGCCTTAGACTAACCAACAAGAGCTTCCCGCATGGCTGATGACAGTTTCCCACGTTCTTTCTTAATCACTGGGACCTTAGTTCAAAGGTGATCCTGTGTGGAGTCCTGAAATGTAAAGCAGAGTGGTCCAGAGCTTACCTCTTGCCCTGAGGTCTTTTCATCAAACCTAGGGCTCCTTAGGGCACAGTAGCTTGAAAACCGCTGACCCACAGGATGTGACTCAAATTTCTAAAGCTCTCACAACTCTCCCCTCCTTCCCCGTGACACTGCTCTAATCCCACCTCTGGGTGTACCAGATACCTCTCGCTCCTGCCTTGGCCCTTTAGTATTTTGATACTAGCTGCTTTGTCAAAACTCCTTCAAGACCCCAGCTAGGATACTGCCTCCTCCAGGAAGCTTATTCTACTATCTGAATATTTGTGTTCCTCCAAGATTCTATTCATCTGCTCAAACCTAAACCCCCAAGGCGCTGGTATTAGAAGGTGAGGCCTTAGAGCAGGGATTAGGTCATGAGGGTAAAGCTCTCATGAATAGGATTAGTGACCTTATAAAAGAGGCTCCAGGGAGCTGCCTTGCCACTTTCACATGTGAGGACATGGTGAGAAGACAGCAATCTGTGAACCAGACAGCAGGCCCTCACCAGGCACCAAATCAACTGATGCCTTGACCTTGGACTTCTCAGCCTCCAGAACTGTGAGCTATACATTGCTGTTGTTTATAATCACCCAGTCTATGGCAGTTTTTATAGCAGCTTGAAAGGACTAAGAGAATTACTTTTATCTCTTCCCCCCACCCACATACATGTGAGCAGAGTGGTCCCTTCTTCCCCTTTCTGTGCTGTACTCTGTCCTTCTACCCATCACAGCCTTCCTCCTGCTGTGTCTGAAGCACCCATTTCTCCGTTTGTCCTACACACAAATCTCAGCTCCTTCAGGGCCTGGTGTTTTTCCCCCTCTGCATTTCCTGGGCTGGACCCTCATAGGTACCCCATCAGAATCTTTCACTGCAGACCCGTGGCAGCCAGCAGGTGCCATGGCTCCCTGGACTCTGTGGGTAGGATTTGGGCAACTTGAATGTGTTTAGGATCCAGCCATGGTTCCCATTAAGGCCACATAAAAGGCCTGAGCTGGAGTCATCTCTAATCCCTCCTTAAAAGGGAGGCCCAGGGGAGACACAGGCCGCCACTCCAGGGCCCCAGGGTCCCCTCTGTGTTTATGACATGGCCTCAGAACATGCAGTTTACAGGCCAGAAGCAGCATGAGGCCCTTGGCCACAGTCCTGGCCATCCCCTTATTGACCTTCTCTCTGAGCCCAGCAGGAAGCAGGCCTCTGTTCTAGGACTTTGGAGCAAAAGGTCACTTCCTGGGCCAGAGTAACCACGGCAACACCATTCCCCTGGCAGCCTTGGACTAGCAAAGTGTCCTCATAGCTCTGATTTTGTCTAAATTTATCATTTCAGGCTAAGGAAGGCCTTGTACTGGTTTTAGAGCCCTGGACGGAGCTCCAGGTGACATGGGCCTTCCTGGTTCTACCACCGACCTGCTGGGGGTTTCAGCAAGCCTTCACCTTCCACGTTGGCGTTCTCAGCTCTAAGAAAAGGAAGTTGATTTCCATGAGAGGTGATCAAACTGTGCTGTAGAAACCTCAGCGATTCCACAGAACATTAGAGTACCTCTGCCAAGCAGAATTCTCCACATGGAGAAACCTCCCCTCTTACTGATTTTATATGCCATGCATGTCAACGCTCTGGGGAAGATTTTTTGCTTGAGAAAAAAAAAAAATTCTTGCTGATTAAAGAAAAACAACCCTGGAAAGTGCTGAATATGGTATCTATGCATTTATTATGGAAATCTAGATAGTTTGCACTGAGATCATAGATGGTTCTCATAGAATGGGACTAGGAGGATTCAAGGAAAGAAGACCTGCTTCCTGTTTCCCAGCCCGTAAACCCTTGCTGTTGTTTTCAAGATTTTTATGATCCTTTCTGGGCTGTGATGAGAGGGCCTGGCAGGGGAGCCGGCTGCCTCCTTATCGAAGACTCCCTGCCTCAGTGCCTAGAGCCAGGCTCAGCCCTGGTGAGGAGGGACAATCCTGGCTGGGTAGGTCAGGCAGCTAAAAGTTGGGGGTCAGGTCCCCTACTTCAGCGGTCCCTAACCTTTTTGGCATCAGGGAAGACAAAAATCGGAAGACAATTTTTCCACAAACTGGAGATGGAGGGATGGTTTCGGGATGACTCAAGCACATTACATTTTTGGTGCACTTTATTTCTATTATTATTACGTTGTAATATATAATGAAATAATGATCTAACTCACCATAATGTAGAATCAGTGGGAGCCCTGAGCTTGTTTGCCTGCAACTAGATGGTCCCACCTTCAGGGGATGAGAGACAGTGATAGATCGTCAGGCATTAGATTCTCATAAGGAGCACACAACCAAGATCTCTTGAATGAGCAAGGGCTCGCATGCACAATGGGGCTCGCACTCCTGTGAGAATCTAATGCTGCCGCTGATCTGACAGGAGGTGAAGCTCAGGCAGTAGTGCCAGCAATGGGGAGTGGCTGTAAATACAGATGAAGCTTTACTGGCCTGCTGCTCACCTTCTGCTGTGCAGCCCGGTTCCTAACAGGCCAGGGACCGGTACTTCTTTTTTTTTTTTTTTTTTTTTTTTTTTTTTTTTTTTTGAGACGGAGTCTCGCTCTGTCGCCCAGGCTGGAGTGCAGTGGCGGGATCTCGGCTCACTGCAAGCTCCGCCTCCCGGGTTCACGCCATTCTCCTGCCTCAGCCTCCCGAGTAGCTGGGACTACAGGCGCCCGCCACTACGCCCGGCTAATTTTTTGTATTTTTAGTAGAGACGGGGTTTCACTGTTTTAGCCGGGATGGTCTCGATCTCCTGACCTCGTGATCCGCCCGCCTCGGCCTCCCAAAGTGCTGGGATTACAGGCGTGAGCCACCGCGCCCGGCCGGTACTTCTTTGAATATATAATTGGGCTCTTTATATTCTTCTTGTAAACTTCCCCCTTTCTTCTCCAGGGAGTACTGAGATGGTCAGCTGAGCTTCTCCCTGACAAGGGGTCCCGGGAGGGAAGGGACAGATGCTAGGGAGGGCAGTGGGGAGTGGGGGGAATGGGGTGAGGTCGGTGGAAACCAGAGACAAGCGCAGGAGCCCACAACCTCAGCACCGCCCCTGGGGGCCTGTAGCCTGCTGGAGATACTGCTAAATCCTGGTGGAAACGTGTCTATTCTTTTCAGACTCCCGGCAACCAATCCGGGCCAGTAGCTGGGGCTGTTGGGATTCTGGAACAGGAACTGGGACAAGAAGGTGGAGGAGCTGTCCTGGCCCCAGGGGGAGTGAGGACACAGCAGTACCCACAGGTCCCACTCTTCCTCCCTTCCCCTGCCCTGGAGCAGGGAAGTACATCCCATGTTGGCAATCCTGCCAGCCACAGGCAGCCAACGGGTGCACGCTGTCCCAGCGAGCTGCCTGGGCTCGTGCCCAGTTAGGGACGTGGCCTGTGTCACCCCAATTGTCCAGGCCACCCAAGGCAGGCAAATGAGCTTTAGGTATTTTAAAATCAGATTTGGATACACACCAAACCGGGATGCTATCTCTGGAGGCAGGCTGGGATTGTGGACAGAGGTCAAAGGGGCTTTGAGCCTTATCTGCCATGTTCCATTTTATTTTCAAGGAAAATGTATTCATGGACTTCTTGTGTAACACACACACACACACACACACACACACACACACACACACTCTGTTTTTTTTTTTTTAAAGATCTGACTTTAAAAGCTTACAGTAAAAATAACAATTGTTTTACAAGAGACTCCAAACATGTTCTTCTTTGGAGGTGGGAGGTAGGGAGGGACTGCCTGATTAGCACTGTGCCCTTGATATGCCAGCATCAGGTCCAGCTCCTGTGCCTCAGTTTCCCCATCTGTTCCCCAGGGAGACAGGCCTGATAATCTCCAAGGTTCATTCAGCCCTGCCATCAAGTGACAAGAAGTTCCACTCTGTGAAGTCACAGGCAGCCTGTCTGCCTGCGTTCCTTGTGAGCCTTAGTTACAGCAGTGAGAGCTGATTCCAGATGCGAGCCCTCAGGGGCCTGAGAGTGGTCCCAGGGGGACCCCTGGGGGCTCTTTGGCCAAATCAGTTAAGCTTCCTTCCTGGGGAGAGTAATGCCAGGCCTCAGAAAGCTTCAACAGCCCAGCCTCTGTGCAGTCGGACCAAATGCTGGCCTTGTAGCCTGTTAGTCCCTTTTCTTGCCACGCTTGGGAATGAACAACTGTGATCTACGGGTGTCATTAAGACAGAGATGGTCTGGTTAGGGACACTGGCCCAGTGACCCTGCCCCTGGCACCAATCACTATGACAACAGCTCAATAGGGTCCCAAGGGCCTAAGAATCCTGCTTCCACTGAGGGCGAGGTTGGCTGAGGTCAGACAAAGAGGGATTAATAGAGCCCTGTTCTCGTTAAACCACAAAGCGCCATTATTACAAGTCGCAACGGCCCTAGCAGGAGATGTATCATGCTTTCAAGTCACAGAGAACCCAGCAAACCAAAGAGAATGGGTCCAGCATCAGCCACAAAGTCACCCTGGGGCCCAGAATCAGAGCAGGAGCAGAAAAATCTGAAATAACGCAAATGTTCAACAGACATTTGCGTAACACACAGACCAACCATAAAATAGCACGGATTGTGGACATTCAAATGATGATGCTGATTGTATTTTCTACATTAAAATCCTCATGATATGTGGAAACAAGTTCACAAAAACTGTAAATAAGCAACATTTTTGTTTAAAAACTCATATCCATATGTATAGACAGTGAAAATATAGAAGAAAAATCTTTTAAAATGTGAGTGGTTATCTTTGAAAAATGAGATTGTGTGTAATTCTTTTTCTTCCTTTGGTTTATCTGTATTTTTATAAAAAAATATATATTTCTCTTGTATTTCAAAATTTTTTTATTATTTTAAAAATTGGTGCAGAGAATTCTAGGGTGGAGTGGTCATTCTTTCCCTCTGGAGTCAAACTTCAGTTAATGAAACCCACAAGAGGGCACTGTTTCGGAGAGTTAAACTTTCTTTTTAACTAATATTTTATTAATTCAAGTACCAATACTTAAAAATTTGTTTTACATTGACCAGTGTATAAGAAAATTATTCTAAACAGTACTGCATATTCTCATGCCTTCTTGCAATTGAGTACAATGAAAATAGTTTATCATTAGCTTCATCATTGTGAAAGGTGCAGATTCTACCATATCACATAATATGCTGATCTTCAGGGCTATTGGCTAAGCAGAAGAGTTTGTATCTGCACTAAGCAGCTTCAGATTACTTCCCTTACTGAGTATCTAGACTTGCTTTTTATAATTTTCCAGTTTCTTTCACTACTGATAAACCATCAGTATCAGTATTCTGTAGAAACTCTTTGCCACTTTAATTTGGTGCTTCTAATCTGCCGTCATCTTGGAAAAACACACATGCTTGTTAGAAGTGTGAATAAACTAAGAGAACGCAGATCTGAGTGAGGGTTTGATATCGTTTGGCTGTGACCCCACCCATATCTCATCTTGAATTGTAGTTACCATAATTCCCACATGCTGTGGGAGGGACCCGGTGGGAGGTAATTGAATCATGGGGGCGGGTCTTTCCTGTGCTGTTCTCGTGGTTGTAAGTTTCACGAGACCTGATGATTTTATAAACGGAAATTTTCCTGCACAAGTCGCTCTTGCCTGCCGCCATGTAAGAGGTCCCTTTGCTCTTCCTTTGTCTTCCACCATGATTGTGAGGCCTCCCCAGCCATGTGGAACTGGGAGTCCATTAAACCTCTTTCCTTTATAAATCACCCAGTTTTCAAGTGTGTCTTCTTTTTTTTTTTTTTTTTTTTTTTTTTGAGACGGAGTCTTGCTCTGTTGCCCAGGCTGGAGTGCAGTGGCGTGATCTCGGCTCACTGCAAGCTCCGCCTTCCAGGTTCACGCCATTCTCATATCTTGTAAGTTATGTTGAAGAGTTTGGATTTTATCAGGGCAGTTGGGAGTTATTGAAGAATTTCAAGAAAGGAAGCAAGGGGCTCATATTTGTGTTTTTTGAAAGATTACTACAGCAAGGACAATTTTGTGTGTGGCGAAACTGTTGGCAGGAAGACAGAAAGATGTGGGTTTGGAAATACAAAGGAAAGGAAATTGGGCTGTGAGGAGATAGGTTATCAGGGATGTCATCCATGTGTTTGAATTTATCAGCTAGAAGAGAGCAAGACCTGCTCTCTTCTAGCTGATAAATTCAAACACATTCTCCTTTTAGGAGGAGCCATGCGGGGGGAATTTATTTCTGGCCTCTGTGCCAGAAAGAGCAACGTCTCTTCTAAACTACAGATACACTTTTATGTCATATGCCTGCAAATCTTATATTAATAAATAACTGTATTTCCCTCTTTGCTTTGGTCACTGGGAAGCTCTGTGAATGTAATTCTATGCACGGAATTTACTTTTGGTTTCATCGCAAGATGCATACTTTCATTTTGCTCAGAATTGTTTATTTATGGTATCTTTTTGTCTTATTCAAATTTTCAAAAGTGGCATCAAATTATTTTTGGAATAAAGTGGAGTATAAAAAAGAAGTTTTTAAAGTGTGAGCTTGAAAAAAACCGAAACATCAATAGCTCTTTAACAGATTCTCAAATCCTTATGATTGCTCATTTTGTATACAGTTTTTGAAATCTGATGACTGTTTTGGTATGGTCAAATTTGTCTATGTTAAATATTGTTTTTAAAAACTGGAAAGTCGATGACACCAAAAGCACAAGCCCATGAGGAAAAACTAGATAAATTGGAGTTCATCAAAATTTTAAAGTTTTGTGCTTCAAAGGCCACTATCAAGAAAGTGAAAATACAGCCCACAGAATGGGAGAAAATATTTGCAAATTATATATCTGATAAGGTTTATCGGGAATACATAAGAAGCTCTTTTCGAAAACTCAATAATAAAAAGACAACACAATATAAAGATGGGCAAAAGATCTAGATAGACATTTCTCCAAACAAGATATACAAATGGCTAATAACAAGCACCAAAAAAGATGCTCAACATCATTAGTCATCAGATACAAATCAAAACCACCATGAGCTGTCACTTCACATTCATGAGGATGGCTATCATTAAAAAGACAGATATTAACAATTGTTAGGGAGGAGGTGGAGAAATGGGAACCTTCATATCATGCTGGTGGGAATATAAGATGGCACAATTACTTTAGAAAACAGTCTGGAAGTTCCTCAAAAAGTTAAACATAGAATCACCATATAATCCAGCAATTCTACTGTTAGGTATATGTCCAAGAGAAATAGAAACATAGGTCCACACCAAAACTACACATGAATGTTCACAGCAACATTATTCACAATAGCCAAAAGGTGAAAAAAAGCCAAATGCTTATTAACTAATGAATGGATAAACAAAATGCGGTAAAGCTATGCAAAGAATTGTTATCCAGCCCTAGAAAGGAATGGCCCAGGTCTCCTGATACATGCTGCAACATGGATGACCCTTGAAAGCAGTATGCTAGGCGAAAGAAGTCAGAATTACCAAAAATCCACATATTACATTATCCCATATATATAAAATGTCCAGAATGGGCAAATAGAGAGAGATAGAAAGTAGATTAGTTATTGCTTAACGTTGAGGGGATAGAGAGATTGGGGTTTGATGGCTAAGGAGTATAGAGTTTCTTTTAGAAGTGATGAAAATATAAAATTGATTGTGGTAGTATTTGTACAACTCTATGCATGTAATACAACTATTGAATTTACACCTTAAGTGAGTGAATTATATGGTACATGAATTATATCTCAATGAAGCCGTTTTAAAAAACATAATGGAAGCCACCATGCTTGGCCTACTCAGTAGACTGTTAATGGGAACCCAGGTCCTACATGGCCCTCCAGAGATGGGTTCTAACTCCGGCTCAGCCGCTTCCCAGCTATGTAAGCTCCTCACACAAATCGCTTCATCTCCCTAAAATGGAGACAGCTATGCCTGATGCCCAGTGGGCCTGCACTGGGTCTAGAGAGTGCTGGAGCTCGGTAGGAGCCCAGTCCGCTGCTTCCCAGAGGGCCCTCCAAGACCCCTGCCCTCAGAAGGTGCCCAACATCCTAAATGAGTGGGGCCTGCAGATTCCCTTTTTGGAAATTAACAAGTGCTCTTGATGATGTTTAAATATTTAAATAACAATTCATCAGACCTTAAGGGGCTGAGAAACTCAGGGGAGGTTCTGGAAGGCAGGAGCTGCAGTGTAGCTGAGGATGCCTCTTTTGTCCCTGTTCCCCATGGAGCCTAGGGGATGGTCTAAGAGGCTGTCTACACTTCAGTGGTCATTCACCCCTCAGCTGCAGAATCAGTAGCTTTCTAGTCTACACCCCACATTCTGCTTCTCTCAGCCCCTGAATAAGGAGCCTGCTTTTAAAGACTGCCCCGGGACAGCCTTGGGCATGGAGTTCTCTGTCGTGAGATTACAGAAAGTCAGCATCAGGCCTCCTCGTGTTAGAGACAGGTCGACTGAGGTCCAGGGATAGGTGAGCCTGGCTCAGTGGCCTCTCAGCCCAATTCTCTGGAGGATTCCAGGACATGTCCTGAGCCACTCCAGTGAGCCAGGCTCTGCTCATGTTTCACGTGAGCACCTCCCTGAATTGCAACAACAAATCTGTGGAGTAGACATTGATTACCCTTTTTATAGATGAGAGCACAGAGACTGGCTCAAGGTGGCTTAGAGAGTGAGCAAGCTGGGATTCACATCCAGCCTGTCTGACAGCAAAACCTGTGTTCTTTGTTCTGGGCCAGTTCCCCCAGTTTCTTCATGCCAGAAGCCAAGCAGGTCGCAGAGGAGGGAAGATGCTTCCATCCCATCCCCTGAGAGAGACTCTGCCACGGAGTCTGGGTTTTCAGGATATTATTGGGCCTCACCTGGTTGCACTACCTGCCCTCCCATCCCCACTCCGACTCATTTCTCTCCCTAAACACCAGATTCTCTGCAGCCCAGGCTCCTTGAGGTTGGGAGCGTTCATTTAAAGTCCCACGGGAGAAAAGGAAAAAGAATCATGGATGTTCCCAGTTCCAGCCTTGAGTCTCTCTCTCAGGATGCCTTTTGTTGCCAAGAATGATGAAACAGATGTCTTGGCAATAGCTTCAAATGTTTCCTGCCAAACCAGGGGAGAATTTGTCTTCAGTTTAGATGCAGCCAAGACAGACAAGTCCCAGCTCTTATTATTCACAGGAAGTGCACAAACACACACGAGCTTCCCAAACCTGGGAGGCCCATGGCTCCCCAGCTTCTCCTCATCAAGATTTCAGCATCATCTATAGACACAGGTTGCACCCCCCACTTGCTTCATGCCTTCCATCCTCCACACCCTTCAGGCTTTCCATGTCACCCTCACCCCTCATCATCGATGACTCCAAGGCCTCGGCCTGGCAGGCAAGGCCACCTTCCTTTTGTTCCCATCATGTCCTAGGTAAACTTTTTGTTTTTGGTGGTGGCGGTGGTAAAATACACATCACATAAAATTTACCATTTTAACCATTTTAAAGGGTACAATTCAGTGGTGTTTAGTATATTTACAAAGCTGTACAACTCTTGTTGCTATCGACTTCCGGAATATGTCATCACCCCCCAAAGGAAAACCTATACCTCCCCGCACTCCCAGCCCCTGGCAACCAGCTACCTACCTTCTTCTGTCTCTTTAAATCTGTCTTTTCTGGGTATTTCATATAAATGGTATCCTACAATGTGTGACCCTTGGTGACTGGCTTCTTTCACTCAGCTGAATGTTTTCAAGGTTCATCCATGTCCTAGTGTGTGTCAGCACTTCTTGTACTAATACTTTAGGGCTGTTCTTTATGACTCAATAATATTCTGTTGGATGGATAAACCACATTTTGTTGATTTGTTCTTCCACTGATGGATGTTTATGTTGTTTCCACCTTTTAGCTATTGTGAATAGTGCCACTAGGAACATTCTTGCATGAGTTTTGTTCGAACCCCTGTCTTCAATTCTTTGGGGCATATACCTAGGAGTGGAATGCTGGGTCATACAGTAATTCTATTTTACTTCTTGAGGAACCACCACACTATTTTCCATATTGACCATACCATTCTACATTCCTATCAGCAGGGTATGAAGCTTTCAGTTCCTCTACATCCTCACCAACATTTGTTATTTTTCTTTCAAAAAAAAAAAATTCTAGCCATCTGAATAGATTTAAGTGGGTATCTCATTGTGGTTTTGATTTGTATATTTTTGACTAATGATTTCACTGAGCATATTTTCTTTTTCTTTGATTTAATAAAGTTTTATTTTTCTAAATGTACAGTTGGTTGGACCTGTTCATGCGTCTTCACCAGCAGCTGGTGCATCTCCACCCTTGGTATTTCTGGTATAAATTACTTGAACTCTGCTTTGAAACCAGTTTGATGAGTCCTTTGCTAAGGAGCTCCTGAAGGCTGCCCTGGCCAGGGAGACTCAAATCTTCAGTCTCTCAGACACCATAGCTGGGGTTATAAGTTTACAGTTGGGAACTTCCTTACAGGGTTTGTCTTAGGTAGTTTTGTCAAACAAAACTAAGTTATTGGGCTTGTCCCGAACTATGTCTTTGGAGCACTTCTTCTTTTTGGCCTTGTCCCCGGATTTGCTCACTGGGTCTTTGTCTTTCCTGGCCAACTTTCCAGCGTCTTTCTTCTTCTTCTTGTCCTTGGGTGGCATTGCAAAGCTCAGAGAGCAGCGGTGAACGCTACAGCCTCGCTAAGATGTCAGACAAAAAGACACTGAACATATTTTCATGTGTTTGTTGTCCTTTGTATATTTTCTTTGAATAAATGCCTATGTAAATCCTATGCCAATTTTTAAATTGGGTTATTTGTTGTTGAGTTGTAGGAGTTCTTTATATATTCTAGACACTAGATCCTTAAACGATATATGGTTTGCAAACATTTTGTCCTATTCTTTGTGTTGTCTTTCACTCTCTTGATGTTGTCCTTGGAAGCACAAAAGTTTTTAGTTTCGATAAATTCATCAATTTATCTTTTTATTTTTTTTTGGCCGCTTGTGCTCTTGGTGTCATATCTAATAATCCATGGCCAAATCTCAGGTCATGAAGACTTACCCTATATTTTTATTAAGAGTTTTATAGTAATAGCTCTTATATTTAGGTCTTTGATTTATGTTGAGTTAATTTTTGCATATGGTATGAGGTAGGGTGCAACTTCATTCTTTTTTTTTTTTGAGACAGAGTCTTGCTCCATCGCCCAGGCTGGAGTGCAGTGGTGTGGTCTCAGCTCACTGCAACCTCCACCTCCCAGGTTCAAGCAATTCTCCTGCCTTGGCCTCCTGAGTAGCTGGAGTTACAGACACCCATGACTATGCCCAGCTAATTTTTGTATTTTTAGAAGAGACAGGGTTTCACCATGTTGGCCAGGCTGGTCTCAAACTCCTGACCTCAAGTGATCTGCCCACCTCAGCCTCCCAATGTGCTGGGATTACAGGCATGAGCCACCACACCTGGCCTCTGACTTCATTCTTTTACACGTGGATGTCCCCTCCAATACAATTTCTTGGGAGGCTATTCTGCATGGAATGGTCTTGGCACCCTTGTCATAAATCAAGTGCCACACGTGTATGAGTTTATATCTGGACTCTTAATTCCATCCAGTTGATCTATATGTCTATCCTGTGCCAGTGCCACACTGTTTTGATTACTGTAACTTTGTAGTGACTTTTGAAATTGGGAAGTATAAGTCCTCCAACTTTGCTCTTCTTTTTGAAGATTGCTTTAGCTATTCAGGGTCCCTTGTAATTCCATACAAATTTTAGGATTAGCTTTTCCATTTCTGTAAAAACATCACATTGGGATTTTGATAAGCATGGCATTAAATCTGTAGATCTATTTGGAGATTACTGTCATTTTAACAATATCAAGTCTTCTAATCAATGAACATGGAATGTCTTTTTATTTTCTTAAATTTTATTTAATTTCTTTCAGCGGTGTTACATAGTTTTCAATGTTCAAGTCTTCCCCTCCCTTTGTTAAATTCATTTCTAGTTATTTTATTGTGTTTGGTGCTATTGTAAATTGAATCGTTTTCTTGATTTTCCTTTTGTAGTGTGTATAGAAATATAACTAATTTTGTGTTAATATTGTATCCTTCAACTTTGTCAAATTCATATATTAGCTATAATAGTTTTTTTGTAGATTCTTTAGTATCAGCTACATGTAAGATCATGTCATCTGCAAATAAATGTGGTTCTCCTGCTTATTTTACTATCTAGATGTCTTTTTTTTTTCTTGCCTAGTTTCTCTGGCTAGAACTTCCAGTACAATATTGCATAGAAGTAGCAGAAACAGGCCGGGTGTGGTGGCTCATGCCTGTAATCCCAGCACTTTGGGAGGCCGATGCGGGAGGATCACCTGAGGTTGGGAGTTCGAGACCAGCCTGACCAACATGGTGAAACCCCGTCTCTACTAAAAATACAAAATTAGCTGGCTGTGGTGGTGCATGCCTGTAATCCCAGCTACTTGGGAGACTGAAGCAGGAGAATCTCTTGAACCCGGGAGGTGGAGTTTGCAGTGAGCCATGATTGCACCATTGCACCCCAGCCCGGGCAACAAGAGCGAAACTCCGTCTCAAAAAAAAAAAAAAAAAAAAAAGAAGTAGCAGAAACGGGCATCCTGTCTTGTTCCTGATCTTCGGGCAAAGATTTCTGTCTTTCACCAAGTGTTTTCTTGACTCTCATTGGCTCATCCTCTACTTTCTCCAGGGTGTCCGGCTGTCACCCTTGCTCACTCTGCTGCCCCAAGGAAACCAGTTCTCCAGCCTTTGCCACACTCACATCCTCTAGTCCCCACCTCTGCCCTCCACTTTCTGATTCAGTGCTCTATCTTTCAAACCAAGAGTTTTTTGCGGAGTTCCTATGCCTCACTCCTGTGGCTCCAACTAGTCATGCATCTCTCCTCCCTGGCCCTCTCCCACAGCTCTGAGCATGAAGAGGCCTGAGGCACACTTCATAAATGCTGAGGTCCTGAAAAGCCTAAGAGGTCAGGCTTGCTGAGAAGAGCTATGTCTGAGCCCGCCTGGCTACAGGGAAAACAAACCCCAAAACCTTGTTGGCCTGATTGGCAGGAGCCCAGAGAGAACTGATGCCCATCCAAGAAACACAGGTGTTCAAGGGCCCCTGCTCTGTGGCTCTCCACCCATGGGTAGCTGCAGGATGAGCACCGTCCTTGGGGGCAGAGGCCGCCAGGCGCTGCATCAGGATCCTGGCCTGCTGCTCTAATAGTGCCTGTGAGAAGTCAGGTTCTCAGGGCTCTAGTCCTCGCTCTCTGCCACATGAGAACCCACAGCAGCCTTCCTGCATCCCAGCAAAGGACCATGCACTCCCCAAGCCAAAGGGGTCCTGGTGGAGACCTTCAGTAAGATTGCCACTTCAAAGCCGTTCCAGGGGCCCGGGGGGACCTCTGAGCTCTCCTCCAGGAAAAGGCCTGTTCTCGTGAGGCCTGTTGTAGCTCAGCTCTTGGAGCCTTCTCTAGGGAGCACATTGAACAGTTTTCCGAATACTGAGGCTCCTCTTGGCTTCATTCCAGGAGTGGGGGAGAGGAGGGAAGGCTGGGCTGAGCCGCTCTGTGGATTTGCTCAGCTGTGTGTCATCCCATACTGTGCCAGTAGGCCCTGAGCCACCATGCAGTTAATTCTCCCCATTCACCTGTCCAGGACAACACAGGGTAACTAGAGGAAGAAAAAGAAAAGCTGGAAATCGTACAGAGGAGGAGAGAGATGCTGTCAAGGAACAAAGGCCAGTTGGTGCCAGGACTTCCAGGCCAATTGAGGATTCTGACCCCTCATTGCTCCAGAGGACTCTGGAGGTGTCCTTTCCCTCAGAGGGTGCCCCCAGCCCCTTGACTCAGTTTTTCCCATTTACTGGACTGGAAACCCCTCCCACCATCAGTGAAACGTTTGCTAAGCCTCACTTGGAGCCCAGGTACCCTGGGGACTGTGGGGGCTATCACCAAAGGTGGGGCATGGTCTGGGGATACCAGGTATCTTGGGGCAGCAGGCATCTTCTACTTCATGAGCTTCCTCCCTGTGGTTCCTTTTTTATTTTTAAGTAGATTTTTTTTAAAGAGCAGTTTTAGGTTCACAGCACAATTGAACAGAGAGTACAAAGTCCCCACATGCCTCCTGCCCCCACACATGCACAGCCTCGCCCACCAGCAACAGCCTGCACCAGAGTGGGACATTTACCAGTGAACCTACATGGACACATGGACGCCTCCTTATCACCCAGAGCCATAGCATACATTAGGGTTCACTCTTGGTGCGGTGCATTCTGTAGGTTTAAACTAATGAATAATGCCACGGATCCACCATGAGAGTATCATACAGATAAGTTTTTGCCCTAAAAATCCTCTGTGCTCCTCCTATTCATCCCTCTCTTCCCCTTGAACCCCAGAAACCACTGATCTTTTTATGGTCTCTGTGGTTTTGCTTTTTCCAGGTCAGATAGCTGGAATCATACAACATATATATCCTTTTCAGATTGCCTTCTTTCACTTAGTAATAGGCATTTAAGTTTCCTCCATATCTTTTCATGGCTCGATAGCACATTTCTTTTTAGCACTGAATTAAATGCTCAGTGGAATCATCACCTGGATATACTGCAGTCTGTTTACTCATTCACCTACCAAAGGACATCTTGGTTGCTCCCAAGTCTTGGTAATTGTGAATCAAGCTGCTATAAGCATCCATGTACAGATTTTTGTGAGGACATAAGTTTTAACTCCTTTGGGTAAATACCAAGGAGCACAAATGCTGGAGAGTATGGTAAGAGTATGTTCAGTTTTGTACTGTGGTTTCCACAGGTATATTGAGATATAATTCGCGTATAATCAAATGTTCCCATTTTAAGTGCACAGTTTGATGAGTTTTGGTGAACGTTTATAGTCATGCTCACAGCGTAGCACACTTCCATCACTCCCAAAAGCTGCCTCATGGCCCCTTGCAGCCAACCACTCCTGTCCTGCCCATCCCCAGCCCCTGGCAACCATGGGTCTGCTTTCTGTCACTACAATTTTGCCTTTTCTAGGGTTTCATATATGTGGGATCATACAAGATATAGTTTTGGGGTCTGGCTTCTTTCACTTAGCATGTTTGTGATATCCATTGTGGTATGTCTGTTAGAGGGTTTTTCCTTTTTGACGCTGCACAGCATTCCGCTGCATCCATGTGCCACTGTTTGCTTGTTCATTGACCGTTTGTTTGATGGATATTTGGGTTGTTTCCTTTGGGGGAGGAACCCTTATGAATAATGTTGCTGTGAACATTCGTGTCTAAGTCTTTGTGTGTGTGGCTTCTTTTCGAAGGAAGGGGGAACGCTGGCTCACTCCCTCCCAAAGTGATTGAGGGTTGATAAGGAAGCTGGGAAATCCCAAGGGGTAAAGAGAAAGGGATACAGGCCAGCCTGACCATGGGCCGCTGGGACTGCCAGAAACCTCTCTCCACTTGACCACATCGTGCGCAAAGTTCAGGGACCAGGAGAGGGAAACCGATGTGTTTACTTCCTGTCTCCATGGTGCTGGGAGAGCTGTTGTTGCTCTGAGTGTGGGGTGAGCTGGAATGTACTCCCCGCTGCCGCAGTCCTGTTGACATTATTCCTTGTCAGAATGGCTCATTTCCAGTTCGTTCCATCTACCCTCCCTTTGGTAGACCTCCATGACCCACCTGGATCCAGTCCCCAGTCACATACCAGGGCCCCCTGGACACAGGGTCCCTCAATCCCAGGGCCCCTTTCTGGGTCTCCAGTGGTTTTGTATGTGCCCATTCCCATGCCCCCCACCCCACGGTGAGGCAGCAGAAGCAGGCCATCACCCTGCTCAGCAGCGTGGGGTTCAGAGAAGCTGAGAGATGGCAGAGGGTGGCACAGCCTCCTCCCGCACCTACAACCACCCTCCATGGAGAGCAAGCCATCAGCACCCCTTTCCACGAAGATGTCTGGTGTTCACTCTCAGATGAAGAGAGGGAGTACTCAAACTCTAGGATTCCTCATAGCCCAATAGACAGCAGCTTAACAGAATTTCAACAGAATGTTAATTACACACATATAATGAATACTATGCATCAGGTATTGTTCAAATAACTTTACAAATATTAACTCATTTAGCCTTATACTACCCTAATGAGGCAGGTAAAATTATTACCCCCATTTTATAGAGGAGGAAATTGGGGCACAGAGAGGTTAAGTAACTGGCCCAGGGTCACACAGCCAGGAAGCCCAAAAGCCAGGAGTTGGCTCACATTTTTAATCTCTGCACTCTGCTGCCTATGGATTTGTTGGTTTCCTTCTTTTTCCAATCATTAAATTATCCTAACAGTTTTATTGAGATATAATTTATATACCGTAAACATCACCCATTTTAAGTGTACAATTGAACAATTTTAGTAAACTTATCAAATTGTGCAACCATCACAACAAGCCAACTTTAGAGCATTTCTATCACCCTGGGAAAGATTCTTTGTGCCCTTTTGCAGTCACTGTTAGTTCCAACCTCTGCTTGAAGCAACCATTAATCTTTCTGTCTCTGTAGATTTGTCCTGGAAATTTCCTATACATAGAATCATACAATACGTGGTCTTTTGAGTCTAGCTTCTGTCACTTAACATGATGTATTTGAGGTAGATCCATATTGCAGCATGTATCACTCCATTCGTTTTTGTGATCTAATAATATTCCATTATATGGATTTACTGCATTTAGTTTATCCATTCACCAGCCGAGAGGCTTTTCCATTGTTTCCACTTTTTGGCTGTGATAAATAAAGCTGCTATGAACATCTGTGTACAAGCCTTTGACTGG
Organism: Homo sapiens; assembly: GCF_000001405.40. Classification (NCBI taxonomy): domain Eukaryota; kingdom Metazoa; phylum Chordata; class Mammalia; order Primates; family Hominidae; genus Homo; species Homo sapiens. The sequence goes on from NC_000002.12 coordinate 20,612,796, forward strand.
ACATATATTTCTCTTTCTCTTTAGGTATATGCCTAGGAGTGGAATTGCTGATTTGTGTGGTACATTTATGTTTACTTGTTGTAAAAACTGCTAAATCTATTTCCCAAAGTGCTGCACCATTTTCCATTCCACAGCCATGGATTTTATAGACTGTGAGGTCCCGATGCAAATCCTAGGGCCACCCATACAAGCAGACAGAGCCCAATTTAGGGTCCTGGAACCAACCTAGGTGTAAAATGAAGCCATCTGGGGATGGGGGGGACTGAGTCAAGCTCAGCCTCTCTGCAGCTTCTGATGTCTGAGAAACAGGTGGGCAAGAAATCAGCTGTTCTACTTTCTAATCCAGAAAAACATTGCCCTCTGGGACCTAGAGCACTTGTTAGGGGAAAATCAGCAAAGTGGCGATAACACCAAAAGGAAAAACAGAAACACACTGTGGAGACGTCAAGGGCGATCTCAGCAAAGGAAGAAAACCAGCTTGAGAAGGCAGCAGTAAAGGCAGTTGGCCTGCAGCTCCCATGCTCCGGAAGCCTTTAGTTCCCACTGCCAGCATCCTCAGAGCCCTTTCCGACTACCTCGGAGGCCAGCGAGAGGATAATGGGGTGATGGCAAGGGGGAGCCCCAGGACTCAGCTGCCTATGGCTCTGAACAGACAGTGCTGGTCCAGCCAGGGAAGGCCTTCTCCAGAGGGGCACTGCTGGAGGAAGGAAGGAAGGAACGCCGCTGCCCGCCTGCCAGCCAGGATAGCTCTGAGTGTCACCAGCTCTCCAGTTTGTGCCACATGTTATCTAAGGAGTCATTTCACTATTTAATAAAGAGATCCAGCTTTTGATAGAGAGAATTTGACATGTCTGGCAGCAGCTGCAAAGGACAGAACTTTATAATGATGGCCCGTGGTGGGTGTCTACACACACAACTGCCTGCCCAGCTTCCTCCTGACACGTCCCCTCACATGGGAGTGAAACCGACATGGCACTGCTGAAACACACAGAGTACACAGGGATGGCACAGGGGGCATGCCTTGCAGAATGGAATGGGCCTCTGCTTGCTGCTGAATGCCACGTGCTCAGGACAGGTGGTAACTGTACTGGGTCGAATTGCGTCCCTTCAAATTCATGTCCACAAGGACGCTGTGAAGGTGCTCCTATTTGGAAATAGGGCCTTTGCAGGTATAATTAAAGGGAAATGAGGTCATATCAGATTACAGTGGGCCGTAATCCAATGACTGGTATTCTTTCCTATAAGAGGGAAATTTGGGCACAGACACAGAGAAGACACCGTGTGAAGACACAGACACAGAGGAGAGAAACTCATATGAAGACAAAGGCAGAGGCTGGGGTGATACAGCTATAAACCAAGGGACCCCAAGTGTTGCCAGGAAACCCCCAGAAGCCAGGACAAAACAAAGTAGGATCCTTCCCTAGAGATTTCAGAGGGACCATGGCCCTACTAACACCTTGATTTTAGACTCGTGACCCCCAGAACTGTGAGATAATACATTCCTGTGGTTTAAAGCCACCCAGTTTATGGTGCTTTGCCAAGGCAGCTCCAGGAAATGGAACAAAAGCTGAGCCCAGGCTGCAGGTAACAAACTGTCCATGCTGGCAGGTGGCAGAGGGGGAAGGACAGGCAGAGAGGGCCGCATGGAGGAGGCACCTCCTTTAGTTGTGCCTGAGGTTCAGGCAGAAGGCCCAGAGAACAGAAGTGAAACTAGAGGCTCAGCATGGCTCCTGGTAGAATTGGCTTTAATGGCTCAAGTTTTTTCATCTTTGCTTCCTCCAACTTGCCTGGAACAGGTACTGCACACGGTAGGTGCCCATTACGTGCTTAGTGTTTATGGATGAGCTCTGCATGTGGGAAAACAAACGACATGATTGGCCAGTTGGCCTGGAGAGAGCTAGCCCAGCTTTATTTAAAAAGCCATTCAGAGGCGGCTGCTATGTGCTGAGTTGGCAGAGAAGCATCAGGCCTCTGAAAGTCAGCAATAAAGAGTCGGCTTACCGAGGCCACATGCTGAGCCCATAATCCCACTTCAGAAGCTGTAGCTTTAGCCTGAGCATGACCCGACACATGAAATTGCTTGGCTCTTCCCAGTAGCCAGAGCCACGGAGCACAGGAGTGAGAGGCCAGCCACAGAGGAGGGTGGATATCTGTGTACCGCGTGGGATTCTGTGTGTCGCAGCGCCAGGCCTGGCATAGAAGTCAGTGGTCAGCACTGGGGCTGGGGACTTGACTGAGCTGTTGACAGGCCTGTTGATCACTTGCCCAGTGGCCTGCCACCTCCTGTTAGGAGCTAGCTGGTACCGGGCAGGGAAGTCCCTCTGTGAGGATCTAGCATGACCAGTCCACTGAAATTCCTTCAGGCACGTAGAGGACTTTATAGTCTACCTGGCTTCCTCCCAGGACCCAGGGTGGGTAAGTCTCTTCACTTGGCACTGTGGGGTGAGGGGATATCACACAGCCAAGCTGGACTGGAACCCTGGCCGTTTGTGCCCACAGAACCTGGCTGCTGCTTCACAGGATGCTGTGGGCTGCATGAGAACTCAAGGGCCAGTCCCTACTGCTCCTCCACCGGCCCCTGGATCTGCTTCCCCACCGGCCCCTCAGTCAGCTTCCCCAACTGCAAGGCCTTAGGGTGCTGAGCAGGGAATGGTTTGGAGCGATCAGAGTTTGTAGTGAGTGGGACCATTCATAGCTTGATGCTGAGACTTCAGCTCCTTGAGGAGGCTCTGAGCATTGACTATGTTTGCTCTGGGCAGCTGTGAACCCACATGAAGCCAATAGCAGCAGGCAGGACCACTATGTGGGGACATGCTGGTAGCTCTGTTACCCTCTCTGTTTCCCAGGATTGGCTCAGCTAGGCAGCTGGTGAGCTAGAGAAATGGGAATGACCCTCCACATCAGCCTGACACCGGGTATTAAATCACTGCACCAAGTATGTCAACACAACGCCCAGGTGGCCGCTGGACAATAAGGCCACAGGGCCCCAGAGAGTGGCTGGACTTTGCTGTCTCGTCTGTACCTTGTGTGAGAGCTTGAGACTCAGAGGAGCCCGTGGGGCACATGGAGGTGAACTTAGTCCCAGATACATTGTATGGACGTGGTCATGGGACACCAGTACTCAACAGGTAGGTGCTCTCCAGGGGGGCCCATGACACAGGCCTGGCCAGGGAAGGCCCTAGGGACTTTCCAGAACTGGCCTGAGTTCCCGGCTTCCTAAGAGGAACAATGCCGGGAGGAAGGGAGCAGTGGGACCCCAGCCATAGACAGTACATCCTGTCCATGGGCTCACAACAGGCTTCGAAATAAACAAGTGTTGTTGTCCCCAGTTAAACTTCTGTTTCCCTTCCACAGGGAACTCTCAGCTGCAGGCTCCTGGCCTGAGCAGACCTTCTCAGAATGGCCAAAGTGCCTGTCCTCAGGAGCCAGGACTCCAGCTCAATCTTAGCTACAAGACTCCAACCAAAATCTTGGGGGGGATAGAGGCCACATTCTGTCCCTGCAGGAGGCCTCTCAGGCTCCCTGAGAACCTGTTTCTAGTTCTCTAGTGGATTTCAGTTGACAGAACTCTCTACTTCAGCATCCCTGGGTCCCAGGGCTGAAGCTGCATCTAAGAACCTGAGCCCTGAAGGCCAGGGCGGGTTTGCTGACAGAGGCGCAGGGCCATCTGATGTCAGACCTGAAAGGGCCCCAGGGCCAGTCCAAGCCTAGACCATCTCCACTGTGGGAGAATAGGGGGTAGGTCTGGAGACAGAAAGGGGTCCTCTTTCTTTCTACATGGGTCTTGGCTGTGCAGTTACTGGCCCGATGACCACACTGGGCCTGGGACTCTATGCCTCCTCTGCCTTGGTTGGCATAGTGAGGAGTGACCAGAATCCTCCCCTTCCCCTACCCTAAGCAGCAGCCTGGGTGACTGGGGCAGGGCAGCTTCCCTGGCTGAGTCCATTGTTTTAAAGGACAATCCTCTCCCCCTCTCCCCTCCCTGGTGGTCTGCCATCAGCCTAGGCACAGAAAAGAACATCACTAACACAGGCTGGAATGGGTCACAGGCACAGGCTTTATCAGGCGACAAGGATCATTGATTGGCCATGAGTCGCAGTCCTGTGGGTGAAGAACAAGCCACAGATACTGGAGCATCAATATCTGGGGGTCTTTGTGATGGTGTCCAGAGAGTCCAGACCACTGAGGAGGTGGCGTCCACAGTGGATGAATACACAACGGGCAGGCCAGGTTCTGCCAGTGACCCCAAGCAGAGCACCAGCCCCTGTGGCCACCTACCCCGCTGTGCCCTCTGCTCCTATGTCACTTGACCCAAAGCAGGTGGGGAGCAGGAGGCAGGGAGCCAGCATCAGGGTGCAGAAAGGGCAGGGAGGGGACAAAGCCCAGAGGAGAGCTGGAGCCACCTCTCGGAGGAAGACCTGGCCCCATCCCCTCCCCACTCCTACTGAGACCTTCCGCTGCAGTCAGCAAGGGATGCAGGGCCCGGGGCTGAGTGCTGGGAAGGAGGGGCGGGTGTGAAGGGGGAAGGCAAATGGGTGGAGCCGGTGCTGGAGCTGTCCCAGAGCTGGCTCAGAGCCCTGGGGAGGGAGCTGACCCTCTGAGCCTGGGTTAAGACGGAGGAGGAGGGAGTCAGCTCTCGACCCCAAAACCACCTGTTTCCTCTCACTCTAGCACTGGTGGAGGGGAAGCTGCTCAGGACAGGGCGCCACAGCTGGAGAGGGACGTGATCAGATGCAGGACAGAGCAGACAGGTCCTGGCACGGGCCAGGAGCTGAGACACTCAACACTGATGGCTGCAAACCACCCGCACCATCAGCCGGGGGCTCCCTCAGGGCTGGCTTTGGTGTCTATCAGAAAAGGGTCTGAGGTCCTAGTCCCACCCGCTCAATGCTTCTGCCAGGCAGGACAGGGCCAAGGAGCAATAGTGGTTGCATTTCCTTTAAAACTACTGTTTCATTAAAAAACAAAACAAAACAAAACAAAAAACTAGCTCTGAACATGAAGAATTATATCCAAGAAAGACACCTTGACATTTTTTGCTTTATTAAACATCATTCACTGAGAATTTCCAAAGCACTGTGTGGTGCCTAGACCTGTGTACCAGCGCTCTGGGGGTCGGGAGAAGTCTAAGGCACGGGCCCTGCCCTGGCGCACGGCTCCTTCTCCCTGGGAAGGCAGCTCCACTGGTGAAAGGCCACTGACCAAGTCCAGACCCTGAGGACGACGAAGGCCTCGGGGCAGAAGCCTGAGAGAATCATGCCCCACTGGCAGTGGGAGGCGGTGCAGGCTGGGAGCCCTGCCCAGGCCCCAGGCTGAGCTGTGGGGAAAGCTATGACCCAGTTTGCTGAGAGCTGCAATGACGAACATTGGCTCTGTGCCCAGAGGCCCAAGAAGGCCATGGACTGGGCTGGCCTTTCCTGGGAAAGGGGGAAGGAGGAAGAACTGGGGCCTAGCAGGGCCGTCTATACCCTGGAGAGGCAGGGCCTGACTTCTCCCTTTAGAGCTTGCATCAAGAGGAGGCTCAGGAGAGAGAGACTTGCATCAGAACACTCCAGACAGCCGATCTCCCACTCAGTATTCCTCTCCTGGGAGACCCACCCAGACCCTGCAGGCCCCTGGCAGCCACGAGGAGCAGAGGCCCTGGAGTAATTTGGCTTGGGGACGTCCCCACCCCAGGCCCAGGCCAGTCAGTCACCCAGGCTACAGCTTAGGGTAGGGGAAGGGGAGGATACCGGTCACTCCTTCTTACTATGCGAACAGAGGCAGAGGAGGGATAGAGGCCCAGCCCCAGTTTGGGTCTGTGCTGGGGCTGGCAGAACCCGTGGGCATGAAGCTTCCCTGCCCCATGTGACACCTCGCTACGGCCCCACATGTCTTGCTTCATCCTTGGGGCTGGGCTTCTGGTTGGCAAGGCATCCCCACACCCTCCCTCCCCTTCATGTCCACGGGGAATAAGACACATTGGGCTCTGGCTCCTAGGGTGAGAGCCGCTCCCGCAGCCCGCAGGCTTCTACTTTGGCCCCACAGCCCCGGAGAAAATGGAACCATGCAGTTCTGGGTGCTGTGACCCAGGCTTCTGCCTGGCCTCCCCTGGGGGTGGGGAGGTTCTGACCCTGCAGGGCCCAGTCCCTTCCCTTCACACCGATGTCCCCACAGACAGGCCTGCTGGGCCAGGGGCCAGCATGGAAGGGTCAGAAGAGGCTGGGGGCGGCCTGGGCTGGTGTATCGTGGTCCTGGATGTACTGCAAGATGTCCATCTCGTCCATGGCTTGGATCTGCTCCTGCGGCTTCTGCTGCCCAGCCACAGCTTCAGCCGGGCCCGCTTTGGGGGGAACAGCTGGTTTTCTGGGTATCACCGGCTTAGCTGCCACTGGTGGCTTGGGCTTAAGCTGGGGCTTGGGTTTGGGCTCAGCTCCCAGGTTCAGAATCTGGTCCAAGTCCTCTTCAACTCTAGGGAACCACAGGGAGGAACCCTGAGCATAACACTGCCACCCCGTGACAGGAACAAGACCCCAGGCAATGCCAGTGCCCACACGGGGCTGGGCAGCGGCAGGGAGCCCAGCCTCGGCCAGGTCAAGGCCCCGCCCTGCTCTGCCCCATTCCACTCTGGCCCCTCCACCCATCCTGCCCAGAGGAGACACGAAGGCCAGGGCTCTCCTTCCCTCCCACCCACAGCAAAGCAGGCACAGGGCAGGCCCCACGCAGCCTCCTGAGAGTTGCTCTTCAGGTGACCCCACTTGACACACGCTGCCTTCTGTAGGGGGCTTTCCCTCCAATCCCTTCAGAAATAACCACCAGCTACTATGTACAGAGTTCCCGCTCTGTACAGCACTTCAGACACGTTATCATATCTTATCCTCAAAACGCCACTCTGGGGAGGCATGACTGTGCTTCCATCACGCAGATGAGGACGCTGGAGTCCCAGGAGGCCGAGTGACCTCGAGGGGATGGTATGTGACAGTGCCTTTGTTGGAAGGAACAGGACATCGGCCCTTAGAAGCTGAGCCCTCATCCAAAGCAAGTTCAGCCAGAGAAAGAATAACCAGGGGCGCTGAGCCATGGTGGTACAGGCTTGGCCCGCCCACAGTGCCCCGCTGTGGGCCACACGGGTGCCAGACGGAACCCAGTGAGAGCTGAGGATGGCCTCGGCCAGGGCCCACCAAGACTCTGTCATGACCCCAGACCTCTAATCTCCCACTGGTGGGTGGGCAAAAAGCCCTGGCAGTGTTACGGTCACTCAGGACCATCCCTGGGTACTGAGGGCAAGAAACAGGCCAGGCCACTGATTCTCCAGAACTTGATTTCTGGAGACCAGATGCACAGTGGAAGACTCATTCAATCCATTCCACCCACTCAGCTCTGTGCTGAACACCCGTGATGGCCAGACATTTCCACATTCATTAACCCATTCAATAATCTCCAAACACTGTGTGGTCGCAGAGATTAGCCCCGTTTTACAGCTGAGAATACTGAGGTGCAGAGAGGCAAAGGGCCTTGCCCTGAGACCCACAGCTAGTGTGAGGATGAACAGGACTTGGCCTGCATGTGGCTGGTTCTCTGGGGTGTGTTCCCCTGGCTGGGGCACCTAGACTCCAGTGTCACGGCGAGGTTTTCCCTTGTGCTAACGGGCATCTCTACGTCTATCGCTCAGCCATGCTGGAATCAGGTGAGTGAAGGCAGAAGACCTGTAGCACCCACTTGGTCTCTACAAGCTTCGGCTTCCTCATCTACAAGCAGGAGTAACAGTGTCACTGGCACTGCTGCACGGAACTGTACACAGAAGCACAGCACTGCAGGAGGAGAACTGGCTTCCGTTCCTCACCCTGCAACTCCTCCATCAGGCAGCCTCAGGCCACTCCTCCTCCCTGGTCCTCAGTCTCTTCTATAAAGTGGGATTGTACTTGCTCTACCATCCTCACAGGGATTCTTACAAGGATCAAATAAGACAACACAAGGAAAGTAGTTTCCAAATGTACAGGAAGGCTGTATGTACTGATGTCTACTGACAGCCACAGGGGCTGAGCAAGTGGGCATAAGACACAGAAAAGCAGTGCCTCCACCTACAATGAGGGACACCCCCCAGCCCAGTCAGACAGGGGCCACATAATTGCAAAGGCCTGGAAAGAAGGTGTTGAAGTCCAGAGAAGGGAGTGAGCCCTTGGGCCAGAGCAGGCTGGGAAGGCCTCCTGGGAAGGTGGGTCTTTTCAGAAGGGTGAGCCTGGCATGAATAGGGGAGAGAATTCTGAAGAAGGGAGCAGACAGCAGAGGTCTGGAGGTGGGAATGAGAATGAACAGGAAGAACCAGGCAGGCTCATGAGCAGCGGCTTCTTGCCCTGGGGCAGGGCCGGGCAGGGGTGGGGATAGAGAGGCGATACCTCTGATCAGGACAACTCCTGGCACTACCAGAGAGCCTGTGTGAGTATGGAGGTGTCCAGCACAGCACCCCCAGGGGTGGATGCCTGCCTGGAGCCAGCTGTGGAAGGAGCTCCGGACACCCTGCCTGCTTCCTGGCTCAACCTCCTGTGATGGGGCACAAACCCCAGAGAGAGAATTCAGAGTCTGTTTGGATGGCAGAGAAATGAATAAAAGGTGTCCTTCTTGAACAAACCCAGAGGGACTGGCCCAAGCCGGGCCTTCATAGACAGACCAGCTGTCTTGGGGTAGAGGTGATTTCAGGAGGTGTCACTCATGGCCAGTCTGCTCCTGGCCACCTCAGGTCAGATGTTCCGGAGCTCCCTCCAAGTGGCAGCCCTTCCTTGACTCCCCCAGGGCAGGTGCCAGCTCCACTGGCATGATGCAGCCTCCATTGAAGGCTGAGGGTACCTGGGAAAAGCTCAAAGGGACTGAATTATCCTCAAATAGGGGCCCTTTGGAAAATAAAGCAGCCGCTAGAGGCTTATGTCAGATTTCAGGATTAGCCTGCTTGGCAAAGCAGTGACTCTTTGGAACTAATCAGCAGCTGGATTTGCTCCCAGGTGGGTGGTGTACACGGGTGGTCAGCCACGGTGGGAGGCAGCATAGCTGCTCTTGGGACACAGGAGGCTGCAAGGCACCCCTTTTCCAAGCACCCTATTTCTGAGTCATGACTAGGACTAGCTCTCACTAGCGCAAGGTCCAGCTCTTTTCTCCTCCAGGCCCAGCTGGTGTGAGGTCAACCAGTGGGGGGTAAGGGAGCTCTAAGACCCTGGCCCCATTCCTTCTCCCTGGGTTCCTGCGGAAGACAAGACTCACCTAAACATCTAGACTAGAGGCCCTGCCCTGGTGTGGCTGCACAGCCAGAAGGAACAAAGCCTTCTTAGCCTCGACCCGCTCAGTGTACACCCCACGCGGCCTCAGGGTGGCTGAGGCTAGTGACAGAATGAACGAAGGGGTGAAAGCATGAATGAATGAATGGCTATCAGAACATTCTTTATTATGAGGAAGTCCAACTACTCCCTGGATAGTCACAGGGCAGACACAAAGAATGAATGTGGTTCCTGCTCTCAAGAAGCTAATCCCAGTGTTACGGCTCTTTTTGAATTTGTCTGAATTTAAAAAAAAGAAAAGCAGTTAATCCTTTCATTAGCAGATGTCTGCTAAAGTGAAGGTGGGGGTGCGGGACCCACACTTTTTGAGCAGGGACTCCCCAAGCGCTCTGCGGGATGCTAAGGGGCACCACAGAGTGGGGGGCCCAGGGATGAATGAGAACGTGAAGTGCCATGTGGTGCTGGCCCGCGCACTACGAGCCCTGCTTTTTGTGGCATTTCCCCAATTCATCAGCCACAGAGCCCCTTTGAAGATAGCCTTTGACCACCCCACTGTACCACGTTCTGCAGAACACAGGTTGGGAAGTAACGGATTTAGAATAAACTAGGCCAGAAAGGTCCCACGAGAGCCACCCCACTGGGACACATGGACTCCTAGACATGCTCGGCCTGGCCCTGCTGCTCCGCAGGCAGACTCTAGTATTTCATTTCCCTGTGCCTCGGTTTCCCTCTAATAAAATAACAATCCTGGTTTCTTCCAGCCCGCTGGGATGTCAGGAGCGAGGACACAGGATGAGAGTGAACAGATGCCAGGGGCCTTGGGGACATGTAAATACCAGAAGCCGTCACGGTGACTCAGGCTTGGCGGGCACTTGCAGGGCTGTCTAATAGCCCGAGGCTGCTAATGAGGGGTACAGATGACAGCCTCCAGGGCCTGCATGCCTTGGTGTCACATAAGCCGTTCCTGGAAAGAGGCGGCCTGGCTTCCTCTGAATCCCAGGCACAGTCCTGTGTCCTGGAGCATGGAGTGGGAGCTGGAGACACGCACAACACTGAGTCTGCTGAGAATGTGGCCAGTGGAGGTAAAGGCCTGGGGAGAACTGGGGGGCTGGGTGGGGAGGCAGATCACCCAGCCAAGTGCTCAGACAGTCCCTGATGAAGTGGAGAGGCCAGGCCAGGGGCAGAGCAGGGGTCTTAGCCAGGTGGCGTCCCACACTTGATTTCTTATAATATGGAGAAAATAGCATCCACCTTAGGGGGCTGTCGTGAAGATTACATAAGAGAGCGTGTAAGGAGTCTGGCTTACTGCGTACACAGCAAGGACTCAGGAAATAGGAGCTGTCACCGGCACAGGTTCTGCCAATTGACCTCCATGTGACAGCTGAGGCCTCATTCTCCCTTCCTTCTGTGAAAGCTGCCGACCGGGCCCTCCGGCAGAGAGGCCATCACCAAGACATCTGCACTTTGCCCCCTCGCTGGGTGGGCTGCATGCTGCCATGAGTCCGTTTAATTTGTTCCCAAACTTGCTTATGCCAGTTATACCTGCTCTTGCAATTATATAATTTAATTATTCTTTACATAAACTGTTAAAATATGATTGTGAAAAGAAAGACTGGTTGTGCACACAAAGTTCTCTCTTTCTGGAACTAGCTGAGCAGCCCTGGGCTGCGGATCCTCCCCCTCAGCCCCCTTCACCGCCTCTCACCCAATGTGCACCCACAGGCTTCTACTTTTCACAGGCCTGGGGTCCTCCCCTCAGAGGAGGCTGGGGCTGAGACTGGGCAATGAGCCGGGCCCTTGGCTCTGTCCAGAACACTCTCAGAGCTGGCCAAGCGCCGCTGGGGACAGGTGGTACCTGAACAGTTCCTTGGAGGCGTCCCTGTGGCTGAGGCTGGGTGTGGGCCCTCCACTCTCACAGGCGGCTGGCAGCAGGAGGGAGTCACCCAGGGGGATGGCCCCGCCGAGGTCAGGATCATCAAATAGCTTCAGGGCTGTGGGAAGGCAGCAGCAGGGGGGTCAGAGGAAGCCTCTAGGCTGGGATGCCATGGCTGCTCTCTCTCTGCCCCACCCCAGGAAGTCTTCTGGGCAGTCCTACAGGAATTGATGCCTCTGCTCAACCTGTCATAACTGGTGCTGCTTTGTAACTGTCAGGCAATGACCTGTCTCCCCAGGGGCCCCCGGGGCCCTCGGGATAGGGACTAGGGACAGGGACTAGGTCTCACTCCTCAGCATGTTCTTGGGCCTGGCCCTCAGTGAGGGCTCACCAAGTATGGGCTGAATTAGTGGGTGGCATCAATTCCCCTCACCGGAGGACGACCTGGGCATGTGAGGAAAGGGACCAAGGGATGAGTGGAGATGTCCCAAGGCCGCTCGGTTTTCCCTCTGCCAACTCTGCACAGAGCCCTCCAGCAGAGTCCATGCAGGCGACACAGAGTCCCATTAAATCCAAACCTACAGTCACACATGTGCCCTAGGCAGGCCCTATCGCTTACCACACAAACAGTGCCTGGAAGCCCAGGGCCCACATCTGCCCACAGATGTCATGGAAGCACAAAGCTGAGTCTATATCACATCTAAACAGGACAGGGGAGATATATGGGTCCTATTCACGCCGGGTGAGTCCAGACCCTGCCTGGTGATGGGGCTGGGCACCGAGAGGACACCAGGAGCAGACCATGGGGCTCTACTTACGGTCCACGGATGACACGTCCTCCGAGGGGTCCTGTGGAGACAGCTTCCTGCCCGGGCCAAAGAGCCCCTCATCAGGGTCCACCTCCTCGTCAAAGATGGTGAGCCGGGGCGAGGGCTTGGCTTTCACGGCCACTTTGGGATGTTTCTTGGGCTTCTTGGAGCTGGAGAATCACAGACAAAGCACAAGGTGAGGATTTCCCACAAGTGTCCAGGTGGTCCGGTCAGACCGACACAGGCGCTGGGCCCTGCAGTGGAGGGGCTGGATGCCATGGGCCAGAAAAGACCAGGCCAGAGGGACCAGGGAAGTCCTGGAGGGGGCCACCCAGAGCAGTCCAGGCAGGTGGAGCTGAAGTCTTTCTGAAATCTCTAACAGATGGTCACACGGCCAAGGGAAGGACAGGTCCTCCATCCCAGGGGAGAAAAGCAGGCCAGCGAAGGTGGTTGAGAAGCAGGTTTCCCCAATGACAGAGTGGTAAGGCCCCCGCTACTGTGGGCAGCTGTGCCCTGTGTTCAAGAAATGACCACTGTCAGGAGGAGCAGGCGGCTGCCAGGACCGGGCACCAGCTGCCAGACAACCCCAGCTCTTAGACGCCTTCAGGCCTTGAGTCTGCCATGCGGTCACAGGCCAGAGATCACACTCCCATTCGGAAGGTAGAGACAGCTGCCTGGTCTCAGGGTCTCAGCACTTGGGGGCCAGGCTCAGAGAACCACACTCCACAGCCACTCAGAAATGGGGATGGACCTGGTCTTGAGCCACAAACCTCAGGGCTAGGACTCAGGAGGGCAGAAAGCAGCTTTGGTAAGTGCCTTATTGTTTCCTTTGCATGGTAAAACCACCATTGTTCTAGTTAACACTTGGGTTCTGTGGAGCAGCCCCCCTCTTTCAGGAAGCCTCTCTGGGACTTGCCCACCTCCCCGGCTCCGACTCTGCCACCCCAGGTCCCATTACAGTGCACTTGCCGACTGGCTGAGGAGGTCCTGCTCTGGGCCAGACCCTGCTGTAAGAAACCAGGACGGGGCAGGATGGAAGCTTCTGGGGTGTAGGAGTACTTTAGTTTTGATCCAGGCGGTAGTTACGGGCTGGATAAGTAAACACGCATGGAGCTGAATGCTCAGGATCTGTGTACGTCACTGTAAGTGATACCGCCAGTAAGTAAACACACTTGATTTTACTTTAATAATTACTTTAACAGGCATTCAATCCCTGCTGATGATGTCTATTAGCCATTTTAAGGTTCCTGAAAATAATGAGAATATGCTCTTTACTGGAAACTGAAATTCCGTGTGCCTGTCCGCCTGGCGGGCAGTTCCACTGGACTGAGGTCACTATGTGAGGTCACCATCTGAGCTCATGTTGGTAACACGCTGCGGCAAAACTGCACCGAGAGGCTGGCCTACACAATGATACAGATTAACCAATGGCAGATAAAAATAGCAGAATGGCCCTGGGTGCTGGAGGGGCAGGTCCCCGCAAGGTGACCATTCCCACAGTCTGGAGTCTGAGGTCTGGCAGAATCCCAGGCACCCAGCCGAGGCGAGGAGAAACTATGAAAGCCAGGAAGGCTCCCTGCTGGAAGGTTCCCTGCTGGAAGGCTGCAGGACAGAGCATCCTCTGAGCTCAGAGCCCAGTCCCAGGGGAAGGATCTCTGCAGGGCTCGTTTGTTGGATGAGGAAACAGTGGTCCAGAGAAGCTGAGTGTCTGCCCAAGGCCACACAGCAGGGAAGGGACAGGCAGGCTGGGTCTAGATTGAGGATGGTCATACTCATGGTCCTATCCTCTTGTCCCCTCCAAATGTCCCATGAGGAAGGTGATATAGGATGGCGCAGGGATAACAGGATTGATCCTGCTGTTCTCTGGGGAGAAAGTGGCATGTTTCAAGGGTAGTGATGGGGAGCAGAGACGCAGTGGCAGGGACTGCTCCAAGAAGGCCCATCTGCCTGGTCCTGTGCTTTCTCCACCCAGCTCAGGCCATGAGGGACCTCCTCTGCTGTGCACCACCCTCAGGCCCTGCTTGTGGTGCTGGAGGTGAGGTGGAGGGAGCCTCGATTCTCCACCCTAAGGGCAAGTGCTTTCCAGAAATCTTCAGCTTCTGCTCCTCTGAGACCTGGAGGAGCCAGGGCTCGCCTGCTCTTACTCAGACATTCTCCCCTTTATTCTTACCAATCAGGCAGAGCCAGCTCGGCTCTCATGACTCCTAGGAAGTGGGTACCAAACAAGGGCCATGGCCTCCTGGGGCAGACAGCAAAGCTGACCCCAGCCAAGACCCACTGAGTCGGAAACCCCAAGCAGGCCCAGGAGGCTGTGTTCAGTCTCCTGTGGAATTCCACGGTCAGCCAGGCTCGCAGCCACTGTTCTGCCCGATGCTTCTCTCCCCTTCATTCCCCATCTCTGCCGCCCTTTGCGTGGCCCTTGCTCCTGGCCCCAGCAGGCACTGCGGTGGGGAAGGGTGGAGAGCCACCCCGGCCCCTACCCAGGTGGCAGCTCTCAGGGAGGGCAGGTCTGAGGCTGCTCTGCAGCCTCCCCCAGCAGCAGCTCCATGCCACACCCCACACTGTCTGCTCAGAAACAAGCAGGCCCTCCCTGGCTCCTGGGGATTGAACTTGCATGTAACCAGCCACGGGCCCCTCGGGGCAGGGGAGCAAGAGGCTTTGCATTGACCAGAAATCAGAGGGCGCAGAGAGGGAAGCGAGCCATCTGAGGAACAAGGGAAGCGAGAGAGAACAGGCGCGAGGAGGTCTCTCTGGAGAAGCCGTGGTGCCCCTTCCTACGCCTGCACCTGGTCTGGACAGCACACAAGAGGCCTAACTTTCCTTCCATGTGAGTTTTCTCCTCCAACTGGATCATGTCCTTGTTTTTCTCCCTAGAGACATGTTTGCCCTTTTGTTGTCCTGAACTGAAATAAAGTGGATCTACAGCACACGCGGGCGGCTCCAGCAGGCATGGTCTGTACCCTACCCCCACCCACCCATGCTGCCTGGGCTGCCTTCTCTACCTCCCCAACTCTCTAGACCCATCTTCAGGGGAATCAAGGAAGAAGCAGGAAATATGGAGTTTTGGTGCCTAAAAGCCCCAGGGTCCTATCCTGAGCGGCCCAAAACTTTCAGCCTCTGGGGGCTTAGTAATGTGCCTGGTCCATAACAGATGCCTTGATAAACTCTGGATGAGAGGATGCGCGATGGATGGAGGGGAGGAGGGATGGACAGGTGGAGGACAGGTAGGCAGGGAGCAGGGTGCCAGCACATCTCCATCTCAGGATTCTGTTAATCCCCAAGGCGGGAGGGGCAGGGAGGGAAGAGGGATAGGCTCCCAACCCCAGTCTCAGACAGCGCCCTATGTGCGAAAGCCCCTCCTCCGAAGATCTCCTGGCCGACTCCACTGGGCTTGCCACCAGGCCCTCAGCCACTCTATGAGCAACTCATTCCTTCCCTCGTGGGCACCTTTGATGGCGAGCACTCACTGAGAACCTCCCACCTGCAAGAACCTGTGCTGGGGACGAGGGAACAAAGATGAGGACGAGCCGCCGCTGTCCCCAGAAGCTCATGGCAGAGCAGGGTCACATAGAAACTGATCATTATGGCCGAGTGAGGTGGCTTATGCCTGTAATCCCAGCACTTTCGGAGGCTGAGGTGGGTGAATTTAAGAATAAAATATGAAAAGTGCTTTAGTTTAAAGCAAAAAGTTTACGGGAGGCCAGGAGTTTGAGACCAGCCTGGCAAAGATGATGAAATCCCATCTCTACTAAAAATACAAAAATTAGCGTAGCATGGTGGTGCATGCCTGTAATCCCAGCTACTCGGGAGGCTGAGGCATAAGAATCGCTTGAACCCCAGGGATGTAGGTTGCAGTGAGCTCACATCACACCACTGCACTCCAGCCTGGGTGACAAAGTGAGACTTTGTCTCAAAAAAAAAAAAAGGAAACTGTTCATTAGCACACAGGGTGTTCCGCTCTGTCACGGCAGAGCACAGAGGACAGAGCCAACCAAGCCTGAGGGCTCAGGGAGGACTTCTTGGAGGAGGTGATGTGGAGACAGGAAGTGAACTTGGTGGAATGGAGTTAAATAGCATCTTGGGTACAGGACCTGAGAGTCACACTGTGAGGGTCTGCAGCGGGCGTGACTAGGACATAACTGGGAACCCAGATTCCTCTTGGTGAAAGGGGACCCCTTAGGTTTGCAGCAGACGTAGTGCCATGAGGGAACAGGCTGAGAGTCAGTTCTTTCCAGGGAAGCTTTGCTCATGGTCCATAGAAGAAATGACCAGAGCCTGGACTAGGAGAGCAGCGGTGGTGCGAGGGGAAGACAGGCTAGGGGGAACTTCAGAAGGCAAACGTGCTTATACATCTGGACAGTTAAGGTGATCGGCTGACAGAAGGGAATTGTCTAAGGTGATGACAGGTTTCTGATCTCAGTGAGGGGGTCAGTAATTCCATGACAGGTGCGTCACTCAGTCTCTGAGCCATTTCTTCACCCTTCTCCTAGCACAAACACCTCAGGGTTGTCATGAACATGGAGTCGGGTCAGGTCGCACACATGGGCTATCACTCGGGGGCCCCCTCAATCCTCTCCTCCCTGGTCCTCCTCCTCCTCCATTCCTATATCAGCATCCACCCAGCTGTCTGCAGGCGCAGGGCCTGGCTCTGCAGTGCCCGCCCTCCAGCCCGCCCTCTGCACTGACAGGAGACAAAGCCCCTCACTGACATGGAGGAAGGGTGCCCTCTTCTCCCTTCATTGGAAGGACAGCTGGTCATGATTAGAATCTTGTCACCAGGGATGGGGCAAAAGGGGCTTCAAAGAGAGGTCTGCAGGGAATAGGACTGGAACTGCAGCTCCTGGCTTCCTGGTGAGCACAGGGTTCATTGGAACTAGTGCAGGCCATGAGGGCCACCAAAACATGAGTTGGGCCCACAGAGGTTGCATGAGGTAGGTGGGGTGCTCCTGGATGGATTGCAGGCATGTGCTGGCATGTTCTTGTTGCATGCACATGTGTGCATGGACAGACACCCGCTTTCCTGCTGTGTATTCCTGACGGCAGACAGACGCGCAGACCAGGCCATGTTCTGCAGGCGGGCGTGCAGCATACGGGGTGAGAGGCGGCAGCTGCCGCGGCTGACAGCTCCAATGCTCAGACAGGCTGAGCAGCAGCCTGGCTCCCTGTGGCTCAGGCAGTTCTGGTGACAGTGATTGACACATAAGAGCATCCACCACTCTGGCCACCCAGGGGGCCTGTGGCACCATTCCCAGATGTGCCCACCCACACAGCAGACCACCAATGGGCACCAGCTGCTCAGCACCGGGTGTACATGCATGGCAGAGGCATCTCCTAGACACAGCCAGCTTAACTGGGTCTGAACAGAAGACTGCTGATCTTTCCACAACTGAGACACATGGACAGCATGAGTCTTCAAAGCCA
This sequence comes from Homo sapiens, assembly GCF_000001405.40. Taxonomy (NCBI): domain Eukaryota; kingdom Metazoa; phylum Chordata; class Mammalia; order Primates; family Hominidae; genus Homo; species Homo sapiens. Next base: position 20,630,144 of record NC_000002.12, read on the forward strand.
GGGTGCAGCTTAACCAAATACGGAAATCCACCTCCTTGCCAATGATGCAAACTGCGTGCTTTAAACTAATGCACTTTTCATACTTTATTCTTAAATTCAGCTGTTTGGTGTCTTTTTGTTTTTTGGGTTTTTGTTTGTTTTTTTGAGACAGGGTCTCTGTCACCTAGGCTGGGGTGCAGTGGCATGATCACAGCTCACTGCAGCCTCGACCTCCTGGGCTCAAGTGATCCTCTCACCTCAGCCACCCTAGTAATTGGGACACAGGCACACACCATAACACGTGGCTAATTAAAAAATAATTTTTTTGTCGAGATGGAGTCTCGCTATGTTGCCCAGGCTGATCTCAAGCTCCTGGGCTCAAGTGGTCTTCCCGCCTTGACCTCTCAAAGTCCTGGGATTATAGGCAAGAGCCACTGTGCCTGGCTGGTTTTATTTTTTCAATGAGAAAATTCTCAGAGTACCAATAAATGGACTTCTGAAATTCACACCAGGACAATGTTATTTGCAACAGCAATGGGCTTCCTTGGAGAAGCAATCACAAGAGTGAGAATCACCTGAGGACAGGCACTAACCCTGGGAGTCCAAGCCAGCCTCACTGGACAGGGGCTTCAGAGAAGGCCAGGATGGAAAAACGAGCAGAGTCACAAAAGCTGTGCTCCGGGCAGAGAGAAGAGCCCATGAAAATGCCAAGGTGTGCAGAGCCTGGCATAGTGAAAGTGCCCAATAGCTGGGCAGCAGGTGCATGGAGGGAGGGTCTGTGGGAATTGTTGGCCACCTCCAGTGGGGCCTGGGGAGATTCTGGCCTTTGCTGAGAGAGGAGCAGCAGAGGGGGATGTAGGAGAACTTGTATAGGATCTGGACCAGTCACTCAACTTCCCCAACCATGTTTCCTTACTGGAGGTCAAAGGGAAGAAGGAGGCAAATGACACAGAAATGCTTCGCAAGCTGCCAAGTGGGTCCTGGATGCAAGTCAGCGCAGGGCCGTGGCAGAGGTCTGGGGTCCTGGGAGCTGCCTGGTGATGTCTAGGCTCACTTATGCTTTCTACTCAGCAGACTTCACTCTGGGCCTTAAAAAGCAAATGGGGCCAGGCCAGGCACAGTGGCTCATGCCTGTAATCCCAGCACTTTGGGAAGCCGAGGCAGGAGGATCACTTGAGTCCAGGAGTTCAAGACCACCCTGGGCAACATAGTGAAACCTCATCTCTACAAAAAGTAGACAAAAGTAGCCAGGCATGGTAGTGCATGCCTGTAGTTCCAGCTATTTGAGAGGCTGAGGTGGGAGGATCAGTTAAGTCTGGGAGGTTGAAGCTGTAGTTAGCTGAGATCACACACCACTATACTCCAGCCTAGGTAAAAGAGTAAGAACCTGTCTCAAAAAAAAAAAAAAAAAAAAAAAAAAAAAAAAAAAAAGGGGCCAGCCAGGGAGGTCACCATGAACGTTTATCATTTGCTATGGTCCCCAGAGTCACATTCCAAGGACCTGTTTCTCAACAGCCAGAGCCCACTCTCCTGGCCACTGAGCCCTATCTTGAGGGGCCAGGACTCAGTGACAATCCCACCTGAGCTTGTGGGTGATGCCATTTTTCCTTCTCCACAATGGGGCCAGAGACTGCCCCTCACCCATCCTGGCTCCTGCACCACCAGGGAACCACGTGGGTCCCAGCTGCAGGTCTCTGCAGCCTACATTCTACAGCAAGCGCCCAGTACCCCCAAGAGCCTGAATACACAAAGGGACAATGGCCAGGCCACATGTAAAGGTGGAACTCTGACCCACAGTCTGCAGTAACCTGCCCAGGAAGCCAGACCACAGCCTCTGCAGCAGTCAGCCCCAAATGGCCAAGATTTGATCAATAACTGCCAGCTTTCCTAAATTTTTCCCCATTTCCAGTTTAGTAGGACCATCCAGAGAAAGCCAAACATGCCCCACTTCCTGCTCACAGAGGACAAAGGATGCCCCACTTCTCATTGGCTGCTTCTGGATTCCCCATGCCAATAACCTCCAATCAGCGTGTATCTGAGCCTTCCCTTTCATCTGCTTCAAAGTGTCCCACTCCCCTGCCTCTCTTTGCATCTTTGCCAAATGCAGGTGATGGTGGCCGACACCTCCCTGGTCGCAGTAAGCTCTGAGTAAACAACCATTGCTGGTTCTCACATGGGCGCTCCTATGCCCCTGATCCACTCCAAATGGTGACACGACCAGCAGACAGCTAGCTGTCCTTGCAGTGGGGAATGCCCATCACCCATGTCATCAAAAACCGAGAGTGAACAGGTGAGGGCTGAGAAGTCAGTCCCCTGGCACAAGTGTTGGACATGGCCTGGGGAAAAAGGGAAAAGTCCTGGGCCAGCAGTCAGGAGACCCCCAGCTCTTGCTCTCATGCCCTCCTGTGTGATCCTGGGAAGGTTCCTCAGTCGTAACAACAGAGCCTGGATCTGATCTGCAGTCCTCAGAGCGTAAAGGCTCTGTCATCCTAAGAGTGTTGTTACTTGCCAGAACTTGCCACAACGGGTCCTGGGGGAGCCTGAGGCGGGAAAATGGCAAGTGTGACCTCCCAGATTTCTATCTCTCAAGGAACCAAGCAACCACTGAATCCCACTAAGGATTCAGGTAAGCAGGCTCCTTCCTCCAGGGCCAGGGGCTGCCCCACCTCCAGAATCGCCTGCTCTAGGAAGCTGTAACAGGTGACAGGTGTACCGGCGCTCCTGGAGGGAGGTAAAGTCATAGTGTGCACATCACAGTGACTGATATTTGCATAACAACTATAGGAAGTGGAAAAGCTGCCTTTTATATTCATATTTCAACTGTTGGTTAAATACACAAAGACCTCTTTAGAGCAAAGTGAATCTGAAATAGTGATAACATTTTACAAAGGAACTTTCCTGTAGTGCTCCATCTCATTTTATCCTTTCAGCCACTGGGCCTCTACTTTACCCCTACTCTACAAAGAAAGAAACAGGCTTGGAGAAGTACAGCAACGCACTCAGCGTCCGCCAGCTGAGTGGCAGAAAGGGGATTTGAACCTGGGACTGCCCATCTTTAACCCTGCTCTGGGGGTAGCCACACATCCTGGGGGTTTCCAGCTGCCCCACTCACTGTCAAACCATACTCTAAGGGGCCCTCGCCTTCTGCAAAGCTGCCCAGGGCTACCCCAGGAAGTGGGGCTGAGGCTGGAGGGACAAAGATCCAGTCCTCACTTGTCCCAACCAGGGGAAATCCTACTTCAGCCTGTTTTATGTACTGGGATTCTGGATGATATTTCTCTTGAGCCAAAGGTTTTGCTACTGAATTTAAAAAGCAGAAACCACTGGTACATCTGTTGTTCCTAACAGCCCATTCATTCAGGCAGGACTTTGTGCAGTAATCTGTTTTTTTGTTTGTTTGGTTTCTGTTTTGTTTTGTTTTTGAGATAGAGTCTCAGTTGCCCAGGCTGGAGTGCAGTGGCACAATCTCAGCTCACTGCAACCTCCGCCTCCCAGGTTCAAGCGATTCTCCTGCCTCAGCCTCCTGAGTAGCTGGGATTACAGGCGTGCCCCATCATACCCAGCTAATTTTTGTATTTTTAGTAGAGACAGGGTTTCACCATGTTGACCAGGCTGGTCTTGAACTCCTGATCTCAAGTAACCTGCCCACCTCAGCTGCCCAGAGTGCTGGGATTACAGGCGTGAGCTGCTGCGTCCGGCCACGGCAGTAATCTGGATGGGGAAATGCAGTTGGCATGCACACTGTGCTGCTGTGATCACTGTGACAGCCTGGGTGGAGTGCCGCCTGCGTGACGCTGCAGGGCAGCTGTGGCACCTGCCTCCTCCTTTCCTTATGGCTTTGGGTCCCCAGCCAGGCCAGGGCTAAGTGCTGCACAGGTGCAGGGTGAGGTCGGGCCCAGCCATCCTGGCTCGTGGCCCCCACATGAACCCCAGGATGGCACAGCAGAGAACTCGTCCAGCAGGTGGGTCAGCAGACGAGGGAAAGCCCAGCCCGAGCAGGAGTTGCTGGGGAGCAGACAGTACCGGAAGTGCCTTCTGGACACGCCCTGTCCTCAGCCCCCTGTGGGCGGCAGACTGTGGTGACGGCTGACCTGCCACTCTCCACACCTGTTTCCTTTCTGGCATTTCCAACACTTTAACAGAATTTGGTTTCTGGGAATTCTCAAACAGGAGCTTGCGGAAGAACCAACTCAAGAGCTTGTTAAAACACAGATTCTGGGGGCCCTACCCAGATCTGAGGGGGGCCTGGAATCTCTATCTCTGCCAAGCTTTCAGTGGCCCAGAATCCCTAGGTGGTCTCTGTTGCACTGGTGGCATCAGGGGAGCCCTGGGTGCCCAGGCTCAGGCTGGAATGAACAAAGAGGTGCCAGGCCCATGCGCAGTGGTCGGGATATTTAGCAAGAGGCACCCTCGGGGAAGCAGCTCCAGGGCACCTCAGGAGGTGGGACTGAGGCCCTGCTGTCCCCACAGAGCTCCCCTCCACGGCTCACCTTAAGGGACTGTCTTGCTGCTAAATCTTGGGTTAGCAAATCTGGGAGCACCTGGCAATGTGCCAGGAGCATTCAAAACCACAGAATCATTCCAGAGAAGTGATTTCATCCAAATATAGAGTAAGATATTATTTTTATACTAAAATACATGTGGTTGTTTTATGAAAGATGAAGCAAAATCCATATTAAAAAACAACCATAAAACGTGGCATTCCAGAGAAACATCCAGCTTCACCACGGAGGCCACAGCACGGGGACCCGGGTGTGGGCTCCCCCTTCCAGGGAGTCTGGGAAGACCAGCTTTGCAGGCAGGTGCATTTGTTCATACAGGAGCCAGCCTGTCCCAAGGACGCTGTGAGTCCTCAGGGACCCAGGGCCTGGAGGGGGTCCCTGTGTGCAAAAGAAGAGGTGGGAGGAGTGGGCCCTGAGGGCGGGGGTGGGCAGGGCTTAGAAAAGCAGAGGGGCCTCCCAACAGAGGGGCTTCAGCCCTTAGAGAACCTTTTACTGGAATGGTACCCCAAAGCCCCCAGAAGCAGCTTCAGGGACCTTGCTCTGGGGCACGTATATAGGGGAAGGCTCCATAGAATAAAAGCTTTGTATATGTAGAAGTTCCTCAGGTTATTGCCTGTAATAGCAAAAACCTACAGAAAACCCCGCCACGCCCACAAGCAAGGGCCTGGTAATGCCACTTACAGCCCATCGAGCTGAGAAACCAGCAGAGGAAGGAGGGAGAGTGCAGCTATTGATCTGGAAGGACCTAGAACATGTAAGCTGGAAAAAAGCAAATTCCAGAACGGCACACAAGACAATCTCATTTTGGCAGTAAGATGTGAATATTCAAAGGTGCATTCAGAAATTCACAGGGAAAGGACTTTTATCTGTGTTTGCAATTTTTCTATACTAATTGTGTGTTATTTGAGTCACAATGAAAAAGGTTTCCCGCAGAGGATTTCCAGCATAAGGCAGAACTATTAGGGTAGAATGTCAATTTTCTCAGCACCGTGACATTCTAAAATAGAAACTTAAATACAAAACAGGGGCGACATGGAGCAGCAATCGGGACAGACCATAGGGTGGAAAAGCAGAGTACGAAAAGGCACGTGCATTGTGCCTGCGGTTGCATGGATGCTGCTGGGACGGGGTCAGAAGAGAGCCCCAGCAGATGGAGAGAGCGGTGGTGTTGGGATGGGCCGAGGTGAGGGCTTTTTCTATCTTTAATTGCTCTCTAATGGTGTAATAACGCTCTCTTGTCCCTAATCAAAACCAGGTTTAAAAGACAAAGAAAAGCCAGGCCGGCCTGGGCTCCGGCTTTGTGCTGGCGACTCCCACCCTCCCAGCAGCCCTGCCGTGGAGCAGCCCTTCAGCAGAGCAGCAGCGCCTCGCCGCGGCCACGGCGGGGAAGGACCGAGGCTGGTTGCATGGAAATGGTGGCCGCTCCAGGAGAGCCCAGAGCTAAGCCCAGACATGGGGCAGGGCAAGCTGGGAAACGGGTGCCGCTGCATCTGCACAGGAACCAAGCGCACGGGAGGGAGAGGGGTGCACAAACAGCCTCCCGAGAAGAACAGAAAGTCCCCCACCAAAGGGCAGGTGGGTGGCACCAAGAGAGATCAACAAGCCCACCTGGGTGTCTGTGAAAGGCCGAGGTGGAAACCCAACTTCAAGGTACGGCTCTGCCACACACACAGCTCTGGAACACACACGGCTCTGGCCAAGATCCTGCTCAACTCCTTCCTCGATTTTACCATCTGTGAAAGGGGGATAATCCTGGGGCCCTGCCCACCTCCCAGGCTGATAAAGACTGGACTGGAGATGGCGTGGGGTCCTGGCTCTGCCATCTGCAGGCTGCAGGAACGTGGACGAACCACCTGACCCTGAACTTGAGTTTCCCACCACACAGAAGAGGCTGATGCCAGTGCAGGCCTCCAGGGCTCCGTTTCTTGACCTGTGCCCACAGTGGATCCTGAAAGCAGTTTGGCGAGTCATGACCTTTCCAAACGTTGAAATAGAATAGAAAATATCCCAGTACAATACACTTAGTAAGGTTTTGTATGAGTTCTGGGAACTTTTGCTTCAGTTTTATGGGATGTTTATACATGTGTGTCCTGGGTCATGGCGTACCATATAGTTTTTACTATGGGTTGTAGCAAGTAGTTTCAGAAATGCTGTCTTACAGATATAATGAGATCATGCAAGCAAATGCTAACTTAGTTCCCAGCATTTCATAAACTCTCAAAAAATTTACTTATTATTCCTGACAGAGGTGATAACGTTGATTCATCAGCACCTTGTCACACGGGTCCTTAAAAAGAAACCCCAGCAGGGGAGGGTCTTAAGCCGGCAGGATTACTCTTAGGTGCTAAGCTTTCCCAGGATTCAGGGGTGAGGGCCCCAGAGTACAGAGCTGGGGAGGGGGCTGCCCCCGCCCCCCCCGCCCCGCCAAGGGGTCCCAGGATAGCTGACACATCTCCCCTGACAATCTGCTAATGAAGTAAGTAGGAAGTTCAAGGCAGCACTTGCCAGCCACAAAGAACATTTTCCTACCCAAAAAAGGAGCCGCTCGGCTAAGTGTGTTCTTCAGCCAAAGGTTGGCACAGACCACCAAAGTCCATCTCGGTTTGGCACTACGTGTGGTTACTCAGAACAACAGAGAATGTGAGTTCAAACAAAGCCTCACCCTTACCAAAATAAAGCCCAAGAAAGGCCTGCCGCGTTGGGCCAGGCTGATAAGGAGTGACTATTACAGGCTTGTCCCCATATCACCCACTACTCTGGCTGCCTCTCCCTCAGGGCCGCTGACCCCACTCAGGGACAAGGCCAGCCACGGAGGGCCAGGAGGAGCGACTGCAGGGCACTTGCTGTGCCCAGGTGCCGCAGGACCCCAGATCTCAGGCCTGTTTCTGCTGCAGCTCCCTGAGCGCCGCGTACCCTTTCCCAGTGCAAATCCTCACCCCTGGACGCTGGTCTCATGGCCACCCTGCAGCCCACCCTCCCATAACCCTCCCCACGAAGAAGGCCTTTCCAGAGTGGGCTGTGATTTTAGGAGAGAATTCTACATGCTGATGAAGTTGAACTTGCTTCTGCCTAATTTCTACTGGGCTCTAATTCCTTTCTGCGGCAGGACCTACACTCATCTGGCGCCCGAGGGCTTTGGTAAACGGCTAAGAGACATTCGTTGTGGTAGAGAGCGGGGAGGACAGCACCCCTGGCCTGGTCTGATTCCACTGAAAGATGGGGCCATGATGGTAGCTGATTGCTAAATTTACATAACTCAGTTCATCGTCACAGGAGCCCTAAGAGGTTGATACGACCATGAGTCCATTTTCACTGAGGAAAACCGAAGAAAAGAGATTGTAAATGGCCAGAGATGTATGGCTGGTGAATGGCCCTGTGTGGAGGCAGGGCCAAGGTGAATGCTCCTGCTATGCAGATGATGCAGCCCAGAGAGCCGCAGCCACCTCTGCGAGTCCCACAGCTGGAAGGAGCACCCAGTCCTCCCACACTAGCCGGACAGGCCCGCAGCCTGCACTACTGAGCTGTCACGGAGGACTCTACCAAGCCCCAGTGCGGAGCCACAAGTGGAGGACATCCTGTGACCCGAGAAGGGAGGCGACACCTAAGCCCAGTCCCAGAGACATGCACACCACCAAGGGCACGCAGAGAGCTACTTCCCCCAACACACCAGGCCAAGGCCTCGTGGCCCAGATCCCTGCGAGGGGGCGACCTGGGATGCTCAGGGCTTTTCTCAGATTCCAGGGAAGGGGGACGTCATCTCCAGAAAGCCTGGAATACACCAAAGGGGCCCTCTCAACAACAGGAGACCAACCGCATAATGCCCAGAGGGTCCAGCGCCTCCTCCTCCTCCAAGGATTCCTCAGCATCCTCGCCCTTCAGGCTCTGGACGGGCGGACCCTCTTCTGCCACTTGGTCTTGCTCCTCAAAAAAGTCGAAAGCCTCTTCATCATTCCCTGTCTGACTGTCTGTGCCATCCAGGACAGAGGAATCTCTGCTGGTGAGCCCTGCAGCCCCTGGGGATCTGGTACCTGTGGAGGAAGACAGAAAAGAATGGACTTGGTAACCACCCCAGAGCCAGGGGAGGCATCTTGCCACACTGCACCCTCCCATGCCAGGATCTGAGGCCGAGGGCTTCCTGCAGCCTCCTGGGACCAAACTCGTCCCTCCTGGGACCTAAGCAGGATGGCGAGTCTGGGTGGATGGAAGGTGACCTCCGTTTCGGGGGCAGCCAAGTGCCTGCTGCAGCCCCCCAAGGGCTGACGGGCACCAAGGAAGCCTGGAGTGGAGTGGTCACAAGTGGGAGCTTCAGAGCAAGACAGGGGCAGCGGTTCCTGAACCCAAGGCCCAGAGCCTGTGTGCGCCGCAGGGATGGCTGCACCCTCCTCCCGGGTGAGCGGTGGGATACAACAGCCAGGGCACAGGGTGATTCAAAAAGAACCAGTACAGCCAGAACCATTTACAGTTGGAGGCACGGCAAGGAACTCTGCAGACAGAGACCTGCCCCGAGAGTCTGGGCACCTGGACTGTGGACTGGATGGGTGCCCAGGGTAAGCATGTGGAAGATTCCAGAACAAACGGTAATCACTCCATTACAAACTGGCTTAGATGAGCGCTTCTTGAAGTGTGGTCTTCAGACAGAGAATGCCCCCTGTGTGACCACAATGAGGTAAGTAGAGAAAGGGAGAGCAAGCATCCAGAAACTTCATAGCATGCTGCCATCATCACAATACCCAAGTGTGCTTTTGTATTTGTGAAAGTATCCATCTGTGACAGGCTGGGAATAAAAGAGCTAGCCCTTGCCACAGATAGTTTGAGAAGCGTGGGCTCAGACTATTTGTTCATTTCTATCCAAGTGCTTACTGGGTAGTTTAAAACAACTGACTTTTAATAAAATCACCTTGTAGGTAAAGAACTTAGAGAGTGTCTGGCATACAGGATGCACTGAGTGATAATGACGATATCGTATTATGTGATGCTCTGTTATTTTACTTGGACAAATGTGAAAAGCCATTCAAAATCTCCCAAACCTTCAATTTCATGTCATAAGCATCTTACATTTAAACATCACAAAAGCCCTATGAGAGAGATCCCTACTGTACATCCATCTTGCAGATGAGCAAAGTGAGGCATAGAGCAGCTTGTGTTTCTATCCTGCCTCTCCACCAGAGAGGGGCTGGGACATCCTGAGCATCTCTTCCAGCGATGGCTGAGCTGGAACCTCTTGGCACAGTCTACCCAGCCCCAGAGACAGGCAAGGAAGGAAGGGTTGTGACCTTGGAACAACAAGGGCAGAAGAGAACCCAGACCCATGTGAGGGGCCCAACATGGCCACAGGACACCGGGGCTGTGCAGCTTGTCCAGTCCTAGGCCTGCGCATTCACCAGTTTTGCTTCTCTTCCCCACCTTTCACTTTAAATAATTTGTTTTATTTACGGTCAACTTTCTTTTGAAAACTTCCCTTCTGTCTTGTGGAACTAGGAGATCCACAGTAGCTGGGAAGGAGTTAAGCAGACGGATGTAAAGAGGGGAGAAGGGGTGGGAGTCCGGCACCAGCAGTGGTGAGAACCTGCCTTGTCCTGGGGGCATCTGTGAGACCAGGGCCTGCCCCACGGGGGTTCTGGGTTGACAGGACTAACCGAGGAGTGGGGTAAAATTGTAGCCACTATTTACTGTGGTTGTTTCTGTTCTAAGGACTTTGCATGTGTTAGCTCTGTAAATTCTCATAACGGCCTATCAGCCAGGCTACTCCCACCTTACAGATGAGAAAACTGAGGAGAGAAGACAGGGCCAGGACACCCATGGGAAGGGCTTGACGTCTCCACCACTGGGGGCAGGGGTGCTGGATCAATTCCTCAGCCCGGAGCTGTCCCCATGACCCTCTCTGTGGGGGCACAGGTGAGAAGCACATGTCCCCAGGGGCAGGTCACCAGCCAGGCTGTGAGAACACAGCTTTCCCGGGATACTGCAGGTCCCTAGGGCTGGTTGGAGGAGGCAGAGGGGAGTGTGGGGTGTGTGTCAGGGGGTTGTATGTGGTGCATGGTCAGTCGGGGGGTGTCGGGCAAGCTCTAGGAATGGGGCTGGCCAGGAAGGCCATGGATGGGGTCACACTATGGAGAATGCCTGCTGTGTGAGCCCCCACCTGACAGCCAGACGTTCAGTCCCTCAAGGGTAGGCCTCCTTCTGCCCACCATCCAGCCAAGGATGTCAGCGAGGCCACCTGCCTCACCAGCCTGGCTGAAGCCTCCAGGCTGCAGAGGCAGCTGTGGACATGCTCCCACTGGGGCACGGCAGCGGGGCCTAGTTCTGGGCCGGGGAGACCTGAGGGACATGGGGCAGAGCCTTGGGTACCTAAGAACTCTAGCAGCTCTGGGCTGCCTGCCAACTCGGCATCCTTGGAGACACAGCGCAGGATCTCATTGAACACGGCTCTCCTCTCCCGGATGTCAGACTCCCCAACAAACAGGACCTTCCTGGGTAGTGGGGGGAGGCTGGCTGCTGCATAACGACTGCTCAGTTTCTGGTAAAACTCCTCAATCTCGCTGTACTTTTTGGAGACCTGGAATGAGAGGAGCATGTGGTTTCCTGAGTGAAGAGTGGCAGGCAGTGCTCCTTTCTCACCCCGACCAGGGGTTCCCAAGGCCCAGCAGCCAAAGGAAGTGTGCCAGGTACGCCCGCCTGCTGCCCCTCTGCCTGTCTCCCAGCCTCAGGCTCCAGTCCTTAACACGCCTGGCCGATAGCAGATTCAATAAAAACATCTTAGTGGCCCAGAGGAAAGATGCAATAACGGTGCCATTCTGGACACTGTCACAGGTCCAGTTAACAAGATTTGATACAGGGACCCCTGCCCAGCCTGCACGTGATCAGGGCCACTGTGTTCATTCCCAGCTTTCTGCATATCAGGAGGGTGATCTCACCGGCTGGCAGGTCATCTTCCTGCAACACCGTGAATCATCTGTTCTCAGCACCAACCTCATTCTCCCGTGAACCAGTGTGGCCTTCGGCGGGCCAGCCAATGCAAGCAGTGGAGACAGATATTTCCAAGGCTTGTTCTCTGCCCTGCGTCAGGCAGGACCTCTCTGCACGCAGGCACCCGAGTCAAGCAGGCCAGGACTCTTGCTGTCATCAGAAGGCAGCCTTGAGCACCATCTGACTCAGAGAGGGCAGCACTCAGCTTCCCGTGGGGCCAGCGGCTGACTCCCGCTGCCTCCTTGGCCTCTCCCCACAGCTCCTGGGCAGCTAAGCCTTCACCCCTTCACTCACGGAGCTCTTGCTGCATGTTCACTCTGTACAGAGACACCCCAGCAGGCTCTCAGTCTCACAGTGGTTTCAGTGCCATCGCCGTGTCTGTAACCATGTGGGTGCTCAGCGAAGTCACCTGCTGTATACACACACCATCGGCCTGGCACCTACCCTCACTCCTAGCTCCTCTATCACCTGCTGTATGCACACACCATCATCCTGGCACCTACCCTCACTCCTCGCTCCTCTGTGCTTTCCCCATAGACTGGGCCTGTCTCCCCCGACTGAAGTGTGGGTCACTCACTCTTATGCTCCCAGGCCCGGACTGTGCCCACAGTGTGCCACTGGAGTGCTGGCGTGCAGGGGCTGCGGGCATCTGACGCCCTCGGGCTCGGGGAGATCCCTTGGTGCAGGGTGTGTCTGGAACACACATCCTTGGCTCCAGCAACACCACCCAGAATGCCCAGCCTGTGAAGGGTCAAGATACCAGGAGGCAGCTGGGGGGATTTCAGAACCTCCAGTGGGGAGTCACCTGGGACAGGTGCTGCTTGCAGTTGTCAGCACAAGAGCCTGGCTCCAGACTTTCCTGAAAACAGCCCTCAGGGAAAGGCACACGGACCCCTTCCCAGAGCGATTGCTAACACAGGCTCCGACAGCAGCTGTGACTCCAGCCCGGCCCGCAGAGCAGGCCACGGTGGGGGCCGGGCGCCCCCTGCTGGCCCGACTGCTCCCCTCAGGCTCAGACCACAGACCCAGCATATCCAGGCTCGGGGAACCTCCATCTCCAGGGCACTGGCATCGTGAGTACTCCGGAGCTGTAGGCCTGGGCTCCCACCCCACCCAGGGCCCACGTCCATCAGGGGTTCAGGCAGGGCTTCTTGGGTGGGCATCTGCACCAGCAACAAGAGGAGGCCAAGTAAGAGACCCTGAGCAGAGGAAGCTCAAGGTTGAGAACTCACATTTATCTGGTGCCCCCGTGTGCCAGGCACTGCTGAGCACGGGGCAGACAGCCCTGTAACGTTAGTAAGCTTGTGGGTGTCTGCACTGCTAGCACATCCAAGAGCCTGCACAACCTCCACTGCGGTGCCCCCTCCTGCGGCTGTTTTACTCCATGGTCAGCAAATCAGTACACGTTTATATTAAAACACATATGCCCTTTTAAGTAGATACAAAATGCTCATTAATTCTTTGAGTTAATTCATGAAACATCAAAGAGACTTCAGGCTTGGGGGTATGTAACTTTAGGCTCCATCCTGAGATCCCATGGGGAGTAAAGGAGTTCTTTGCCCTCGCAAGTACTTTCAAATGTCTGACAAGCCCCTGCACGCACACACTCCACGAGGAGTGGGCGTCACTGCCTAGGAAAAAGTGGCACTAGTGTGATTCATGGAGGTGTTAAAACACCCTCATGTACACCTTGCATGTAAGGCCGGCCCTCTGCACAGAACCAAGTGGGCTGGGCGGCTGAAGCCCAAGCTTCCCAGAATGCTCCCTCCTTCATGCCCCGCAACATCAAGCTCAAATACTCTCCTCTTCTGCTCCTGTCTCTGAAAATGTGGGTGCATTGAGCTCCAACCTGGATCAAGTCAAATTACCAGGAGCTGCAAAGCACCCTGTAAAGCAGATTCACTCTCAGAGCAATGCAGGCCCAGAATCACCCCTGACATCACACGTTGCTTCTCACCAAGAGTCGGCCACAGGAGCAATCAAATGAAAAACAGCATTGCTATTCTAGACGCTTCTCATGACGTTGTTGAATGTCCCTTAAAATTGTGTGGCTGGGCGTGGGGGTTCACACCTGTAATCCCAGCACTTTGGGAGGCTGAGGCAGGAGGATTGCTTAAGCCCAGCTTGAGGAGTTTGAGACCAGCCTGGACAACATAACAAGACACTATGTCTACCAAAAAAATTAAAAAAGAAAAAGCTGGGCATGGTGGTGTGTGCCTGTAGTCCTAGATACTTAGGAGGCTGAGGCAGGAGGATTGCTTGAGCCCAGGAGTTCCAGGCTGCACTGAGCTATGATCACACTACTGCACTCCAGTCTGGGGAACAGAGGGAGATCCTATCTCTTAAAAAAAGGAAACATTTGTGCTGTAAATTTCTCTTAAAATTTAGTGTCTCTTTCAACAGGTCACCAGAAAGATGCAACTCATCGTTTCCCTTTTTATCTTGGTTGCCAGGAGACTCCAAGCTAGCCCCGTGTCACTCCCTGCTGTACTTCGGGGTCTAGTTCATTTCACCTTTGTCCTAATAATCCTGGACCTGTGTCTCTTGGTCTCCAGCTGCAGGTCCTTTTCACAAGAGGCCAAATGGTAAATAATAAGCCAATGAGTGTGTGATCTCAACCCTCTTGAAATTCTCTCCTCCCTTAGCTCCTCTGACTCCGTAGATACCCACCCAGTTCTCTCCTCTCTGCCTCAACTGCAGACTCCTCCTTCTCCCCAAGAGTCCCTGAACCCCTGGCATCCTCAGGATTTCCTCCTCAGCCCTTCTCTCTGCCTTCCACTTCTGTTCTCTGGGCAACTTGATCCACTCCCAGATTTTTAATATCACCTCCAAGTTGATGACTCCCAAGCCTACATCTCAGGCCTGAGCTCGTCCCGAGCTCCAGCCTCATGTATCCATCCACAGGGCAGACACTTCACACTCCACATGCCCCCTAGGTCTGCTCCTCCATCATATTCTTTATTTCAGTTGGTGGAAACAGTCAGCAAATGTGGTGCATGTTACCCAGTAAACATTTTCAACTCTCCCTTTCCCTTCCATACCAAGTGCAACTGGCCTGCTCCAAGCCCTTGATTTGGGAATGACCATATTGGCCATGTATCTGGGCTCCCTGACACCTGTTTTGTTCCTTCCAATCCAACTCCATGCTCTCAGCAGATTGGCTGGTTAAAGGCAAAAGGGTCCACGTCACTCCCCTGCTTAAAACTCTCCTTGGCTGCAGGTTAAGTCCAGGCTCCCGCAGACTCTCCACAATCTGGATCCTGCCTGTCACTCACCTTCATCTTCCCCGCTTCCTCCCAGGACCACACTCAACTGTGCAGAGTTCCCACTCAATGTCCTATTTCCAACCTCCGTGCCTTTGCTTAGGATGTGTTGTCTGCCCGGGACACCCTTCTCACCTCTCCTGCTGAGCCCCATCTGTTCCTCAAAACACAGCTCAGCCACCGCCTCTTCCAAGAAGTTTCCCCAGGGTCAGTTAGGTGCCCCTTCTCTATACCCCCAGAGCCCCCCAGGTGCTCCTGTCCCCATCTGTATCTGTCTCTTTAGAGGTCTGCCTCTCCACGGACTGAGAGCGTCTGATTCACCCTGTGTCCCTTCTGTCTAGCATGGTCTGGTACTCCAGGCCCTGAGCAAGCAACAGACAGAGAAGCACTTGCTCTGGATGCTACTTGAACCCTGGTGGGCAGATGTGTCTGCCCGCCCGGACCCCGGGCACCCTCGAAACATCCTGGCCAGAGCCTCCGGCTCACCAAGAACTGGACGACATCCTCGGGCCTGTGCTTGGCCGACTTGAACGCAGCCAGACGGGTCACCACCAGGATCTGGTACTCCACGTGTCCAGACATCATCTTGCCCCGTACCTCCTGGTGCTGGGGCACAGTCAGGTCGAGGCCAGTGTGGGCATTCTGAAGTCGCCTGCCAGGGGAAAAGAAGGCAGGTGGGGTTCAGGGTCAAGGCAGTAGGCTTCCCGAGCAAAGTGCAGGCAGGGCCTCTGGGTGCCTGGCAGGCCTGGGTGCCAGGTGACTCTGCTGGCTGTCCTCAGTGGTCACTGCTCCAGGCCACCCATCCCGCCACACCAGCCCTCATAAGCCTGGCTTCCCAGGCCTCGAGGCCTCGGACCTGGTCCTGCCTTTGGGTTGCTCAGGGACAAAGGTCTGCTCCCTGCAGGAAAACAGGAAAGGATGGGGCTTGTTGAAAGGGATCGACACAAACTCTGTGCAGAATGGGTGGGAGCAGCATCCTAGGGCCTCTACTCAGACCAAGGAACATGCCTGGGGCTGCAGGGACAGCAAGGGATTGAAATCCCAGCTGGAGACAGGCACCTCTCTTTGGCTAATGGGCAGGAGGGCTGCTACAGGCCCCCTGGGGGGGACACGGGACGAGCACTGGAGGCAGGACCCTTGTGACCCACCGTGGCCCAGAGAGGCACTGATAGGCCCGTCCCTCATCTGGGCAGTCGATGCTGCCCCTCGAGGTGTAGAGAGGATGCATCGGCAAAACATCACCGCTCTTGGAGATTTGTAAAATGCAATTCGAATATAATGAATTGTATGATGAGCAAAGAAGTGATGAGATGTTTTTCTTGAAGTGGAAAAAGTTATTAAATACATCCCTCATCCTACATAAGGTGAGACACAGACCTGTGCAGACTAACATCCCTCACGCAAACACCTCTGGCAGGACACGTGGGGCACCCTCTGAGCAGCTCTGACCATCGAGGTGAGACCTCCTGTGTGCTGGGCAGGACCCTGAAAACACGGGAGGAGCTTCTGGAGCTTAACCTGTGTCTGGGGCAAGGCCCTTCCCTCTCTGGAATTATACCCCAATCCATCAAATCCCCCTGCCCCAGCACTCCTCCCACACGGACCCCTCACATCCCACGCTAGGCCACGCTGTCACCAGCACAACGCTGCTGTCACCAACTGGTGAGGCCTACAGTGATGCGTCTCCTATGCCATGTATGACACCCAATGACTGAGTGCTGTACACACAAGGAATATCCTCCCGCGGCGTAGGGCACCCCAGGCAACCTGCCTTCAGGTGGTGAAAAGTGCAGCAAGGGCCGAATGGGCACTGGGAGGTGCACACGCACAGCCAGCCCTCTGCCAACGGCACCGAGTTCACGCAGTGTGCACGCGCGGCCTGGTGTCACCCACGGTGTCACTGCCACCAGTGTGGAGGAGGAAGGTGAGGCTGGATGCTGAGGGGAGACGCGCTGGGCTCTAGGGATGCACCTGTGTGAAGTCACTTCCGCCTCCTGCAACCCTGCGAAGGAGCTCTGCTACCCAGACCCACTTAAAATACAGGGAAACAGACCCCTAAAGGGAAAGTGCCTGCCCAGGTCTCACCCGGCATGAGGTGGAGCTGCGTTCAATCCCAGGCAGCTGCTCCAGAGCCCAGGTGGCCTCTTATGGGGCAGGCATGAGAAAGAAGCCAGGCATCATTTCTTTAGGATCATGATGAAAACGAGGCACAGGGGGGTGAAAGTGACAAGAAGGGCAGTGCCTGAGCTGCGGGGAGGTCCTCTCAGGGGTGGGAAAGGGATGGAGCAGACCCAGATGGGCACCTCCCACGATCCAGCTCCCTCACAGCACCCCACATCCAATGGTTCTCTGACCACGCCAGAACCCACAATCCATAACCCCACCCCTTTTCCAGGGTCCCATTCCATTGCTGGAATCCCTCTGCCTTAGGCCCAGCTCCCCTGACTTCTTACCCAGAGCTGAGCTGGCCTGGTCAAAGCCCACTTCTCCAGTTCTCTGCTTCCTTCACCCTGTGCCCAAGTGGCTCAACGTGACTGGGGACAGACATGGTGTAAACATGCAGCCTGGTCCCATTGAAATTCATGGCTGCAGACTTGAAGGCACAGCACCACACCAGGCTTGGCAACCCTACCTTGCCCTAGATGTGGGGTTCTCAAAGTGTGGTCCCTGGATCAGGATCAGCATCGCCTGGGAACTTGTAAGAAAGGCATGTTCGGGCCTAGGGTGGCCAGCCATCTTGTTTTCTTAGTAAGCCCTCCGACGAGTCTGATGCACCTGGGCCTACTCCATCACCCTCCCACTTCCCTGAACCCATAGGAAAACTTTCTCTACAGGGTCAGATAGCAAATATTTCAGGCTGTGTAGGGTATCTGGTCTCTGCTGCAGCTGCTACGGAGAGTACATAAACAAATGGGGGTGTGGTGGGCAGGATGTGCCCTAGACCAAGCTTCTCCAACTGTAATGTGCGTGCAACCCCCTGGGGATCCTGTTAATATGCAGATTCTGGTTCTGCAGGCCCCGGGGTGTGCCCTCACCATCTCTAGCAAATTCCCAAGTGATGTGGACACTGCTGTGTACTGCTCCAGAGACCATCGGAGAACATCCTAGGCTTCGCTGTCACATCTGCCCATCAGCCTGCAGCTGCTCCCTGATAGCTGCCCTCTCCTGGGACTGTAGACAAACTGGCTGGCTGCTCCTAAGGCCAACCTTCTACCAGGGCAGCGGCTCCGAGGCCCTCCCACCTACTGAAGGACATAGCTGCTGCAGCTCACCCCTCTTTTTCGCACCATCGATTTTCCTTCCTTACTGGCCCACGCTTATTAGCATGCAACCATGCTCTGACCACTCATGTAACAAAAGCTGTGCTTTGACCCGACATTCCCCTTGCTCCGTTTCCCTCCTGCCCTTTCCAGCAGAACTCCTCAACAGAGGGCCCCATATTCATGGGTTCCTCTCCTCCTGTTTGATCTTGAACCCTTTCCAGCCAGACTTTGGTCCTCATCATGCAACAAACTGCCCACGCCCAGGTCATCTGCGACCTCCATGTGGTTAAATCCAAAGGTGAATCCTCATTTCTCCTCTGGTCTGACTTGTCAGCAGCAGTGGGCACAGTCAGCCACTCCCCTCCTTCAAGCTCTGCCTTCACTGGTGGCTGGAGCACCCCCTCACTCTTGGTTCTTCTCTGCCCACCCTGGCCACTCTTGCTCAAACAGGAGGAGAGGAACTGCTTTGGATGGTTCCCCTTGATAGCATCCAGAGCACCCTCCTTCTTCCTCTCACTGTACCCCTCCCCAGGTGATCTCATCCAGGCTCCAGGCTTTAAATACCATTTCCGAGCCAATGGCTCCCCAACTCCCATCTTTAGCTCACTCTCCCCTCACAGCCAGCCTCCTTCCAGCTGCAGCTGCCTGACATCCCCACTGGGCTGTCAACGAGCTTCTCAAAACTCACCTGTCTACACAAATGCTGCTTCTACCTCTCCCCAAGCCTGCTAAAGGGCAGCCTCATTCTTCCAGCAGCTTAGGCTGAGAGACTTGCCGTTAGTCTTAACTTCTCTTCTTGTTCTCACACCCCATATCCAAGCATCAGCAAACCTGAAAGCTCAATCTTCAAAATATATCGAGAACCCAAACATTTCTCACCCTCACGGCCGCCATCACCCCGGGCCAAGCCACCACCGGCTCTACATGGAAACCTACAAGCCTGTCCTGAATGCTCAGCTCGGCCACTGCCCATGCTCAGCATAGCAGCCAAAGGATCTCTATAAACCAGAAGTTGGGCCCTATTGCACTTGAAATTAAATCTGATGGCCCCTCCACAGCCTTCTCGGCCTTTCCTGATCATCCTTCACTCCCAAGCTTGCCTCTTCACCGCATCACCTAACACTCTCCCTGGGCTCACTCCACTCCAGCATACCAGCCTCGGGACCCTGGCTCCTGCTGTCCTGTCCTCCCAGTACACACTTTTCCAAGATTTCTTTTTCATGGCTCTCTCCCTCATGGAGCTTGTCCGGGATCTGTCCAGGCGCCACTCCATCAGAAAGATGCCTCTTTACCACACCATAGAAAACAGCATGCATGCCTCCTACCACTCTGTTGCCCCCACTGTTTTGTTTTCCTTCATAGCATGTATCATCCCTGACATGTCGTAGATTTGCCCACTGGGCCTGTGCCCTCATTAAAGCTCTACGAGAGGGACTTGTTTGTCTCCTAGAACTAGGGCCAGTACCCGGTACAGAGAAGGCTCTCGATAAACACCTTCTGGCTGAATTCAAGCTTGAGTGCATGTGGCAATGACATGTGGGAGGAGATCGGGCTGGAAAGAGGAGCTGGGGTGCGACTGGGAAGGGCCGGCCTTGCTGCTGGGCTAAGGCGTTTGGACTCACCCTGCAGGCAAGATCCTTGGGTGTGCTGGTGCCCTCAGCAAGAAATGAGCCTGACTCATGTGGCCTTACCACCGCCAGCGCCCCCACATCTGTTAACAAGCCACGTCCAGGCTGTGCAGCGGGGCAGGGAGGGAAGCCACCCACCCCATCCCAAGCACCCAGCACCAAAGTCACACCCCATCCATCTGCACATGGCTGAGGGGCATATACTACTGACGTTGCTCATGCCTGCCAATCTGAAACCTCCAATTCACAGAAAAGGAAACTGAGGCTTGGTGAGAGGAGGTGACGTAAGTGGCAGTAGGGAAACCTCTTCTGCCCATGAAGATACAACTGTAACCACACTTGATCATGAAAGACCAAGCAGCCTCCGACATCAGGGTTTACAAAAGGAATCATACCTTTCTAGACCTGAAGTCACGGGGAATTCCTGATTACAACTGGAAGATCAACAGTTGGCTGGGTAACACGTTCATTTATGTCATAAATTGGCATCTTAGCCTAAGACTTTGTGTAGGGAGAGCAAGGGTGAAGTGTATGAAAATATTTGAAGTAAATCACTTTACAGCGTTTTAAAGGCGGAAAGAAGTAAAAGCACGTGCCTCCCAGCCTTGCCAGGATCCACCTTGGGCTGGGTCCTCCAGGTCTCGATCAGGGCCGACCCATTCTGCATCCTCCGCCTGGACCCCTCCAAGGCTTTTGCTGTAACTTGCGCTCTCCTGAGCTGCCTCGCAAGCAGCAACGACCTCTCCCTGGTCTCTCATCAAACTCATCCTCCCAGAAACCGGGTTCCTGCCCTGTACTGTGTTCCCATGGCAACCTGAGCTTACTACCCGCTGCTGGCATCACCCCCTCTCCGCTGCAGCCCCCTGCAGGGCGAGCTTGTCTGATTCGCCTCTGTCCCCAGTGCCCAGCACCGGGCCTGGGACTCAGGGAGCTCTGAAAGGATGGGGAACTAGATTTTCGGGCTCAAAAGAGAAGAACCCAAGGCGGTAGGAAAGGAGAGCAGAGTCCCCACTGCGCCCGCCTGCACTGAACCAGTCAGTCCCAGGGCTCCCGCTGTCCTTGGCTAGTTCTCTACCCTCCAGAGGGCCTCGGTTTCCTCATCTGTAAATCGGGGTCGCCACCTCTCCTGCAGGGCGGTGCAGGGGCCCAGCCCGGATAAGCCACCGAGGGCGCTGGGGAGACCTGCACCAGGTCCCTGGCCTAGGAGGCGGCGGCCTCCCCCCGCCTCTCCGCCCGGGCGCCCCGGACTGCGAGCTGTGCGGTGTGGGGCGCGGGGGTCTGGCTCACCTGGAGGTGACGAGCACCGCCGGGGACTGCATGACGGCGGCGGGGACTCCGGGCGGGGCGCGCAGTCACGGGACCCGGCAGTGCCCGCGTCACCGCGTCCCCGCCCTGCCTCCCGCTGCCCTGGCCTGCCCCCTGGTGGCAGCGGCCGCGCAGTTCGCGCCTGTGGCCAGAGGCGGGGCGGAAGCGCGGCTGGGCGGGTCCCGCACGGTCGCCGTCGGCCTGCGCTGCTCGGAGCTTCCGGAGCACCCAGGCTGAGCCGCGCCCGCCGCAACCACCTAGAAGAAGCCCAGCCTGGCCCTGGCACACGGTGAACCTTAATCGGTGTGTCTGTTTTGCGCTAAAGTTTAGCCGTTAGAGAGACGGGACTCTGCTGTTTCCGCCGCCAGTCCCCATTACAAAACCACTCCCCCTCTGCCCCAAGACCATTTCATTCAACCGATCGGTCAACAAATATTTACCAAGCTGGGGCTCTGTCCAGGCTTCGTGGGGTCTTCTTCAAGCTGCACAGTGAACGCCACGCAGCAGCCCAGTCCCCTTGAGCTTGCTGCCTCCAGCTAGCTCGCCTATCTGGTTCCTACTGCCTGCCCGCTCCATAAATGGCAGGCACTCTCCCGACAGGGGATCTTTAGAGAGGCAGCCTCTGCTGCTTGGCAGAGCCCTGGTGGAGGCCTCCCGGGGCCGGGCCTGCCTGGGATGGCTGCACTTGGGTCCCCAGCTGGAGCAGGGCAACGGGGTCCAGGAGCCAGTTCCCCTCAGAAGGGGAACGTACAGACATGCAGACCCTAACAGACCCACTCATTTTAGATTCACCTCTCCATGGGGTGAGGAACAGAGAGATCGTATCACCTGCCAACGTAGCCCAGGGAAAGAAAAGCTGAGTCTGCAAACAGGGCCAGCAGAAGGTGCAAACTGCTGCCCCTGTTCTGTTACTCCCTCCACCCAGAGCCCCAGTGACAAAAAGAAAGAGAAGCTGGGCTTAACTATACCAGAATTCACGGCAGGGCGATGTCAGCCATGTTTCCTGAGCCTATCAACCACCGCCACCAGCATCACCAACAATATCTACCAGTTTTTACAGATTTTAGTGAAGAAATCCTACAGTAAAAGATTTTGAAAAATGACTTTCCCCAATGTATCTCTTGAATAAATACGGACATTGATATGCCTTATTATTTGTCTCAGATTTGTTTATAGGCAAGATGAGCAATCATGAATGAAGTATGACAATGAATGAAAGTTCTGAGGGAGACCCTTGAAGGCTGCAGTGAAGAGCTGGGATGATGGCGGGAACCCCTGTCTGCTCTGCTGCTCATCGGCCTGTCCGTCTGCAGGGCCGTGTTCATGGCTGCAAATGGTCCTCCGTGTTTTGTTTAAATTGGCATGCCCTACTTTAGAGAAAGGGAGTTCAGGGTCTGGACAGAAAGCAGTATAGGCTTCAGCATTCCAGGAGTCTGAGTGTAGTGCCAGGCAGTCGAGCAGTCACCATTGCACTCACATTTATCCAACAGACAGAAACACAGTGAATAAGACACTTTAGATGCCTTCAGTGGACTTCTTTGCCCTCCTACATGGGGAGTGGGTGGGGGTCTGGAAAGGCTTTCTAAAGGAGCTGAAGTCCAAGGGAAAACCTGAAGAAATATGGATAGAATAGATTAGAAGGAATGTCACGTGCAAAGCCCTAGCGACAGGATAGGAACACCAGGGAACAGGGGGAAGAGGCCAGCAGGAGCCAGGGTGTGGACAGCCTAGTGCACCAAGGCCAGGGCTTTGCCTGATCCTGAGGCCAACACAGCGCCATCAGAGGGTCAGGGACATAGGAGTGGCTGGGCCAGCTAGGGCGTGGGCAGGGTTTTGGAGCATGTTGAAGGTATGAAGATGAGCTGGACTGCAGAACAATCCAGACAAGAGACAATGGTCCCATGAACTAGGGTGATGGCCACCCAGGTGGAGAAGAGGGGACGGGTAAGAGGGCCTTAGGAGAAGGAGTTGGTCAAGACTTGGGAATCCAATGGGTGTGGGCGGGAAGAGATAAGATACCACTATGGTTTGGCTCTTGTGAGTGGCTGGACATTGGTATCATTCTCTGTGGCAGGGCACCTGGAGAAGGAGCATATTTTTGGTAGGATGATGGGTTCTGTTTCAGACAGGCAGTGTTTGAAGGGCTGGACCTATTGATGCGATTGGGTTTATGGCCCTGGGCCTCAGGAAGCCGACCTGGGCTGGAGACTGACATAGGAGTCATGGGTAAAAAGGAGGCTGTTGAGCCTGAGAGTTGGGGTGAGCCCACCAAGGATGGTCTACAATCCAGAGATATGCAGCGGTGTTGGGGGGCTGCAGAGAAGGGGACTCTCCATCATTGTGGGAGCTGGTAGCATGTCTGTCACCAATGCCTTGTAAGCAAATGAGAGGGCCTCACCTGTGCCCCTGGGGTTGTGAAGTGTGCACCTCAGGAAGACTCGGCCCACCTGTCAAGAATGCAACTGGTTTCCCATGAAAGAACGACCCCATTCCCAACAGCAATCCCATTTTCTGCCTCTGTGGGTCCCACGTGCCCCTCTATGGCTCCAGCGCGTAATTGTATACAATGCATGGAATGTGGGATCTAAATCTGATATTTTCTGCTTCCTGTTTAATTCAAGGAGCCCCTTCCATGGCTGAAGCTGCGGTAACACAAACCACATTGCAAAGGATTTTCTATTTCTCTCTTTCTCACTGCCCTGGGAGGAACACTCCAGGCCTCAGTTTCCACCCAGGAAGTCACTGGGCCTCAGGACACTGTGGTCACTGAGAGACACCCGCAGCCTGCAGGGGGTGCTCTGAACTCTGGCTGAGCCATGCACCAACGTTTCCCATGGTGGCTCGGGTCTTCTGGGACCTTATAATTTGTCTCTGTTCCCTAATGTGATACTTTAGAGCTCCAGGGTCTGGGCACATCCACATGGAGCAGGGCCACCACCTTGCTTGTCACTCAGCAAACACTCATAGGTACAGCTCCAGGCCTGTTATCTCCCCAGGCCTGGGGGCTACAGAGCCTTATCCTGTGGGGCTCACAGCCCACTGCAGGGGCTCACAGGCCACTCTAGGACAGCTGGAGATTTCAACAAGGATGCACGCCTAGGGTGCTATGGTGCACAGAGGAGGGCACATAACTAACTCAGCCTAGGGTTGGGCATACAAAGAATTCTGCCAGGAGGAGGTGATGGCAGACCTGGGTTGTAAAAAGTAGGTATTATTTTTTTGAGACTTGATTTTCTCACTGGTGAAATGCACGTAACAGAAACCTTTAAATCATAACATTGCTTGAATTACATGAGGTAAAATGAGACTGAAACAAGATGAAATGTATGGCAGGCATTGGTGATGAGCTAACCGGAAGCCATTCACAACCCCCTTCTTCCTGGTTTTTATTACCATAGAGGCTGGAGAAGTAAAACACATGTCCCATTTCAGTTACAAGGGGCCATGTGACATAACTGACCACATATACTTAAGTCCCTGTGGAGGATTTATCTTGCTAGGAGAAAACTCTTCGCTCCTTCCTTGTCTTCTACCTGGGAAGGGGATACAGTGTTGGAGACACAGCAGCCATCATGGGAGCAGGAGGCACAGACATGAGTTTGGAGTCTACCATGTTAGGGATGAACAAGCCTGGGGAGCTGATGGCATATGAGCTTGCATACACGCCCTGGACTTTTTCTACAAAGTTCTCCTTGCATAAATGCCTAAATCACTCTAAGTGGGGGTTTTCTGCAGTGGATTTCCTGTTGGTGTAGTTGTAAAGTACTTACATAATGCCTGACATAAAAACTGCTCCATAGGGGATGCAGGGATGACTGAGGAGGAGGAAGAAAAGAGGTAAAATGTGTACTAGGAAGGCAGCTTGTCTTTTTTTTTTTTTTTTTTTTTTTTTGAGACAGGGTCTCATTCTGTCGCAGTGGCATGATCACAGCTCACTGTAGCCTCAACCTCCTTGGGCTTAGGTGATCCTCCCACCTCAGCCTCCCAAGTAGCTGGGATCACAGGTGTGTGCCACCATGCCCAGCTAATTTTTGTGTTTTTTGTAGAGACAGGGTTTCCCTATGTTGCCCAGACTGGCCTTGAACTCCTGGGCTCGAGCAATCTGCCCTGCTGAGCCTCCCAAAGTGCTAGGATTACAGGTGTGAGCCACCATGCTCAGCCTAGTACGTCTTGATAGAACCAGAGCGTATCTGAGGAGCTGGTGAGAAGAATATGTGGAAGGATTGCTGGGAGAGGAGGCAGCAGAGGGCAAGAGGAGCCTGTGTTCCCGCAGCATAGAGGGCCTTGTGCGCTATGCAAAGGAGCTCACATCTTATCCTGAAGAAGGAGGGAGTGGGCTCACAGAACAAAGGGAAAAGAGTGTTTCAGGAAGAGACTGGGGTGTGATCAGCAATGCCAAACACTGCTGAACATCCAGGAAGATAAGGAGGTGTTCAAGAAAAACAAACAAAAAAACCCCACAGAACTGAACAGTAGTTAAAGTGGTGAAAGCAGATTTTATTTGGGACTACTGCAATAGGGGTAAGAGACCCCAGTATAGAACTAGGCTAAATTCCGAATGCAGCATGAGAAAGTAGGAATTTATAGCCAAGGAACAGGGTGGGAGTGGTGGCTGGAACATTACTAAGACGAGTATGGGGGGACTCTGGCTATGCCGACCTAACAGGATTCTTGCTGAAGATGGGCCAGGATGGTCAGACATCACCTGGGGATGGTGGAGGAGGGGGAACCCAGTTGGATATCGAGGGTGATCAGATAGGCAGGGTGGGAGGATGTTGGTAACCTGACTTAGCCACGTTCTTCCTAAAACTGGATTTTACAAGGAAGTGCATGCATAGGTCTAAGAGAAGGTTCAGGAGCTCAAAGCTCAGTTTGGTCAAGAAGAGAATCTTTGAAGAGAGAAAAGTGTTCTCTGGCCTCGAGGAGGGCAGTGTCCCAGTGGGTGGAGGAGGGGACAGGAGGTGGGAAGGGGAGAAGGGAGTAGGGCCCCCTCTTCCAGAGGGGGACAAGCAGACAATTTTTGGAACCATTCTGTAGAAATAATTCATGCTCATGGTAGAAAAGCTGGAAAATAGGGATAGTAAAATTAAAAAATAAAAATCGCCTCTCATTCTATACCAGATATAACAATTGTACTAATTTTTTGTTCCTTCTCTCCTGACATTTTTTTCTATGCCTATACATAAGTCTTTTTTTTTAAATAATACAGAATCTTAATAGCTATACTATTTTGTAACTTGCTTTTTCATTTACCATCCTGTAAACATCTTTCCATGTAAAATGACCTCCAAAACCATAATTTTAAATGGCTCCTTAGAATACCATATGCAGATGGAGAATAACTGACTTCTCTGGTCCTTAAGCTGTGTACATGTGATGGAAAGCTGGTGCACTGGAGGAGTACTGAGCGGGGTGGATGATCTTTGAAGTGCTGGCTGGTGTTTAGGCCAGATCCCTAGGAAGAAGGCTTGGGAGAAAAGTGCCAACTTGTTTGGGAAACTTGTTTCTTGAGTCTTTCAGTGTGCATTGCTATTGTTGAACAGCAGAGGAGATTGGAAGATTGGGAGAAATGAGACAGTGCTTCATCGCTTTGCATTGTAAAGGAATTTGGGAGGCATTGTCTGCCTGCGGCTCCTGAGCTCTGGGTGGTGGTCTGGCTTGTGGAGGGGGCGTGGGGCCCAGCCGCCTGGAGGAGGCCCAGGGCAGGCCAGCTAAGGCTGCAGACCTTGGTGGGTGGCATTTAGTGGCTCCACTGAGTCCTGCTCTGCTCTGTCCAAGACGCCCCACCTCAAACCTTCAGGGCCTACTATGCACCCTCGTCTCAGGGAAATGGCGTCTAGTACTCAGTGCACCACAGTCCTGGAAGTGGCTAGTCAACAGGAGTCAGGAAGCTTGGACTGACTGTGGAAGCGAGGCTCTAGGGATCCTCAGGAATCTTTGCCTGAGGCACAGCAAATCCAGCTATTTTGTTTGGATATTGTAGAAAGTCCCAGAACTTGGAAGCACAGAGACATGATGCATTAGATGGGTTTACATCTGCACTCTACTAAACTGTGCTCAGGAAAGCTGAATGAGGCACGTCTTCCCCAAACCTCGCCAGCCCCGATTCATTTTCTTACATCCTCTCAAGTGTGAGAAGTGAAAATGCTCTTTCTTGCTTAAGTACATTTATATGATTACAGGTGCGGCTGAGCATCTTTCTCCTATTTGTTGGTCTTCTGTTTCTTTGCGACTATCCTGTTTATTTCCTTTGCACATGAGAAAAAGCTTGCTCCATTTGTCTTTTTCTTGTTGATCTGTAAGAATGCTTTACACATTAAAGATACTAACCCTTTGTGATAAATGGTGTCCTGTTTGTCTTTTAACTACTTTTCCCCTAAGTTTTTATTTTGAGAATGTTTCAAAGGCACAGAAATGTTGAAGGGTTAATAACCACATCTGTGACCCCTTCCCCTAGTCTCACAGGTGGGATTCTGGCTCAGATGGAGACTGGTGATGGGCAGGAAGTTTTTTAGGAATTACCTGGGCAGAGAGTGCTAACTTGGGATGCAATCTGCAATCATGGCAGAGGCCGCAGCCCTTTGCAGGGGGAGCTCCGGAGCTGGCATGGCCCTGCCAGGTCATCCTGAATTGGGAGGAGGTGGGGATGGGGCTTTTACACTCCACATTGACAAGTCACTGGATGTAGGCTACCTGACCTTGGGTGCTACACCTCCCTGTCTTCAGAGAGGGTAAGCAGGGCTGCAGGCTGCCAGCTTTCTCAGCAGCTGCAGAGTAAGTAAGCACTTAGTCCCTGAGCACCCCACCCTCAACCCCAGAGGGCAGCTGGGCTGTACACCACAGATGCCCTGCACAACTGTGAACATTCTGCCACCTTTGTTTTACCCTCTCTTTCTCTGTTTCTGTGTTTTTTTCCTTGAAACATTTAAGAGTTAGTTGTAGATATAATGATCTTTCATTCTGAATACTTCAGCATATACCTCCTTCGAATGAGAGCATTCTCCTACTGTATTAGTCCATTTTCACACTGCTATAAAGACATACCCAAGACTGAGTAATTTATAAAGGAAAGAGGTTTAATTGACTCACAGTTCAGCATGGCTGGGGAGGCCTCAGGAAACTGACAATCATGGCAGAAGTTGAAAGGGAAGCAAGGTACCTTTTTCACAAGGCAGCAGAAAGACGTGCCAAGAGAAGGGGGAAGAGCCCCTTACAAAACCATCAGATCTCATGAGAACTCACCCACTATCATGAGAACAGCATGGGAAAAACTGTCTCATGATTCAGTTACCTCCACCTGGTCTCTCCCTTGACACGTGGGAATTATGAGGATTATAATTCAAGATGAGATTTGGGTGGGGACGCAAAGCCTAACCATATCACCTATATAACCACAGTGCAATGATCATGCTCAGGAAAATTGACATAGATACAACAGTCTAACATACCATCTGTGTTCCAATTTCTCCATTTGTTCAAACAATATCTTTTTTTTTTTTTTTTTTTTTTTTTTTGAGACGGAGTCTCGCTCTGTCGCCCAGGCTGGAGTGCAGTGGCGGGATCTCGGCTCACTGCGAGCTCTGCCTCCCAGGTTCACGCCATTCTCCTGCCTCAGCCTCCCAAGCAGCTGGGACCACAGGCGCCCGCCACTACGCCCGGCTAATTTTTTTTTTGTATTTTTAGTAGAGACGGGGTTTCACCGTTTTAGCCGGGATGGTCTCGATCTCCTGACCTCGTGATCCGCCCGCCTCGGCCTCCCAAAGTGCTGGGATTACAGGCGTGAGCCACCGCGCCCGGCCCAAACAATGTCTTTACTAACAAATGCTCCCCATACCTTCCCATCCTGACATCCCACCCCCAGTGAAGACTCTAACTGAAAATCCTGCATTGCATTTAATTATCACGTTCTTTTAGTCTCCTTTATTCTAAAATGGGCTTTTTCATCTTTCATGACATAGATATCTTTGAAGAGTTTAGGTCAGTGGTTCAGAATATGCCTCTGTTTGGATTTGTCTAATTGTTTCATCTGTTAGGTGCAGATGAATCTTTGGCAGAAGTGCCACACTGAGGAATCCCTTTCAAGAGCACGTGATGCCAATTTCCCCCATGATTAGTGACATTAAGTTTGATTATTTGGTTAAGGTCAATTCTGTTTTCAGAATTTTCTTACAAGCATGTTTTAAGATTTTTATGAAGCTCCAACCATGGACATAATTCTTGCTGGTTCCTGCAATGAACTCAGAAAAGTATCCCTTACCCAGACTGTATAAATATTTACATATTTTCTCCAAATACGCTTATAATAGTTTCAGTCTCTAATAAATTCTTTGATTCACTAGGAATTAATTTTGGTTTATGTCACAAGAGTCTATTTCCCCCTCTAAATACTTAATCAAGCATCTAGTGTCATTCACTGGTAACTTTTATTAAACAAGTCATCCTTTTCCCTCACTGGAATTGTCACTATTTTTCTACATATTTTCAAAGATTGTTATTTGTTTCTGGATTCTATTCTGTTCCCGTGATCTGTCAATCCTCCTTCCAGTGCTATATGGGAATTGGTTTATTTTGATATCTGATAATGAAGATCTCCAAGGAGGATTTATTGTTTGACGATGTAAAATGTGAGTAAAAGCAGAAAGATGAAAGAGAGAGTCCCAAGGAGGTTTGAGGGCTGGGGTGGCAGGGCAGTGACAGGCAGACAGAAACATGTCTATCCGTGTGGCTTTGGCTTGGGTGTGAACAACTGAGAATCAGCCCTTTGCCCCACCTCTCTATTCTGCCCACCCTGTATCTCAGTATAATATATCATGGCGTATTTCCAAGCCATGCATGTGGATCTAACTCAGTCTCACACTGGGGGAATCATAATTCACTCTGAGGGTATATTATCATTTTGTCCTTACTAGATTAAGTATCATCTATTCCACTTTTTATTATCACCTCAATTTTAAACCTTGTATATTTATCTTCACGTGTGCAAGTATAGCTATAAATGAAACAACATTTTTACAAGGGAAAAGTAAAAGTGCTGAATCAAAGCCTTTCCTTCTTTAAAATGTTGATGCTCTTCTTGAAAAATCTTTTTTTTTTAAATTTAGATAGCCTGTATTTCATGATCCATGTTCTTGAAAAATCTCTACGAACTTATATTCCTGCCAAAGGTATATGTAGATGTGCCCGTTTGCCCATCCTTTTGCCAATAACGGGTTTCATATTTTTCAGTTTTGCTAGATTTAGAGAGGAAAAAAGTGCTATCTCATTATTCTTTCAATTTTGCAGTGATTTGCTAATGACTTTTTAGATGTTGATTCTGTAACCCAGTGTTTTTACTAACTTCCAGATTTGTGTCCCCAGCAATGAGGACAAGCATTTTGATTAGAGTCCTCTAGCTCCTCATTCAAACCAGGAATGAAGACTCGGAGGACAGAACCTAGCTGGGCTCTGTTTTAGTTGCCCTAAATTAACACCTTATTTAGGATGGATCTGCTACCTAGGAAATGAGGGTGAGAGGGCACATGGGGGAGTCATAGCCTAGGGCCAGGTTCCCAGTTTTGTAAGTGCCTCGTTCTTTGCGGGGCAGCCTCGGAGACTGCCTCCTGCAGACAAATCTCACAGACACCTTTACTATGTGGACCAGAAGAGCTGAGACAGCCAATCCCCAGACACCAGGATCCGGTCAGCCCTGTGATCCTCCGGGTCAACACTCTGTTTCAGGAACTGGTGGATCATTTGTTCCCAATATTGTCATCCTCAGGGGTGGCTGCAAGTCTCATATCCTAGACTGTGGACACATCTTCTAGTTCCTCCAACTCTGTTCCTGTCAGCCCCTATCTTCCCAGGCGGCAGATAATTTGGTTCCTCTAATCATTGTGGGTCTAGAACAGAAACCCTGAGCTCTATCTAAGTAAGACTGGAGGGCTGGGCATTCCAAATTATTGCACAAAGAGTCCGCAGCTTTTTTTCCAAAAGTAGTTTTTTGTTTGTTTGTTTATTTGTTTGTTTTAAATCTCATGTGTCCACAAAGGTCTCCAAGAAAATCTACTGAAGACACAGCTGCAGAACATTCAGAATACTGAAATCCATGGTGAGCAAGTCCACAGAGGGGAAATGCCTCCAAGACAGTGGCCACACCCAGGAGACTGAATGAACAAGCTAGATGAGCTGGCCTTCCAACTGGTTAAACCAGGACTTACCCAGATGGCATGAAACGCCACCATTTTTTTTTTTTTTAACTGAGCCAGCACTGGGGCAAGGACTTTTCCTACTTGATTTAATCTACTCTTTGACACACCCCTTATAAGTAGGCAACCCTGTCCCTGTTTAAAGACAAAGAGACAGAAGATGACAGAGGTTAATTTAATCAGGGTCACAAAGCTCGAACACAGCAAAAGTGGATTGGAAGCCAGATCTTTATCATGACCCTATACTGTAGTCTTTTTCCTGGGTCAATGGAAGCATATGGTCCTTGTCACTCATCTCCCAGGACACCTTACAGCCCCATGCGAGCTTGTTCACCTGCAGAGGCCCAGAGCACTGGTTCCTGAGTCTTCTCCCAGTAAGTAGGAAGTTCCTCAACACTGCACTGCTGTTACAACAAGTAACCAGCAGATGGCAGTGTCCACCAGCCCTCCCTGATTCGTCCCAAACCCAAGGGCTCTGAGATGTCCCTTTTGGAAGGCTTCTGGTAAAGAAGCTACCTTTCTCCCTTCTTCTCTGTTGCCTCTCCTCCCCCTCCCGGTAGCCTGGGGCACAGGGGCAGGCCACGCCCAGCGGCCTGGGGCCAGAGCTGTGGCTGACCCCAGTGTGGATGCCAGAGCTGTTGCTCTGAGTAACCTGGGGCCGGGTATCACCAGTTGAGCCTGGGAAATTCCTCTAGCTTCAGGAAGCCCAGCCCTGGGCATCCTATGGGGCTAAGCCAGAGCCCGCTGCAATCTTCCCACCTTGCTGTCCCAGGTCTTTCTGTGGGAGACATTTGCAGCAGATTTCTGGACTGAGAGGAGTCCATCATCACCAGACCCAGAGAGGGTGGATGGCTCTGCAGGCTGTTGTCATCAACTTCTGTCCCTTGCCTTCCCTGGGAGACCTAACCCAGAGCCCTATCTCCTCACCTCCAAACCTTTCTCCAGCTCTGAGTCAAAAGGCCCAGAGGCTACGGTGGGTCCAGACAGAGGACAGGCTCCTGGCTGGGTCCCAGGCAGTGGACCCATCTCACACTCTTCCCGTCTTTCACTGCAAACCCTGTGGACGTTTGATTGTCAGCCTCACTGCACATCTGGGGTCTAAAGCCAGGAAGGGTGAGGAACTTGCAGCCCAAGTTTAGAGGCACGATTTGAATTGAGGTCTCTTGACTCTCAGGATTATCAGTTTTATGTTCCAAGTTAGTGCATGGCTGCAGGGACCCAGCATCCCCAACAGAGGAGAGGGGAGGGCAAAGGCTGACCCTCATTATGTTGCACCCACAGGGTGCCCTAAGCAGAGGTGAGGCAAGACCCTCTGGGCTGCAATGGAGAACAAAGGCCCCTGATCACAGGGGGACCCAGGATAGAAGATGGCTATGATGCCAAATGACAGGCTACTGATCACATCCCCTTGTTGGGGACTTGGCTTCTGCATGTGGACAATGTAGAGTAGGTTGCCTCTAAGGGATCTTTTAGTTGTCTTGTCATCAGACATGGGGCCAGGTGTCTGGGTATGGCAGGAGACCCTGGGCAAGGCTGAGTAGGCTACAGCTGGGGCTTGCCCAAGTTCCCGTACCTGACAGTCGCTTCAAAATGGCTGTAGCTGGCGGGATCCAAGACTAACTCCCTAAGTAGTATCAATCTAGTGTTGTAGGTTCCCAGATGACATGCAAACTCCCCACAGCAAAGGTACCTTCGAGAGATGTGGCTCTCCTAGTAGTAGTAGAGAGGACTTCCTCACAACCGGGTACAGGAAAGCACAACCGTAATCCCAGAACTTTGGGAGACTGAGCCTGGGCTCAAGAGGATGCTTTGAGGCCACCCTTGGCAACACAGCAAGACCCTGTGTCTACAAAATATTTTTAAAAATTAGCTGGGTGTGGTGGCTTGTGCTTGTAGACCCAGCTACTAGGGAGGCTGAGGTAGGAGGATCACTTGAGCCCAGGAATTTGAGTTACCGTGAGCCATGATTCTGCCACTGCACTGCAGCCTGGGCCACAGAGGGAGACCCTGTCTCCTAAAAAAAAAAAAAAAAAAAAAAAGAACAAAAAAGAACTTCCTCCCATTCAGAGGTATCAGAGGCTGCCTTGGATAGGGAGTTCCCCACCTCTGCAGGTATGCAAGTGCAGCCCAGGAAGCAATTTGTTATGATTCAGGCATGCATGGCAAGTTGGCTTAAATAATAACCCCAAAAGTTGTTTTCAGATCCTTGGATTCTATGACTGAATCAGGGACTTGGTGTTCAGAGAAAACAAACAGCTTCTGCAAGGGGTGGAAGAGCAGCAAAGTGCTCTGCAAGGAAGGGTCTGGGGCGGGAATGTGGGAACTGCCCCTCTTCATCCCAGTTGTCAAACATCGCCCCAAGCAGGCTGCTTTCCCCTCCTCCCTCCGTTGGAGGCAATCTCACCTTCTCTCTCTGAGGAGGACTCAGCTGGAGTCTGGAGGTCTGGGGTTTGGGGGTGATCAGATGGATGAAGAACTAAAGTTAGGGCTTTCAGGCCCCAGTTTTCTCCCAACCTTCTCTGATCTCTGCTCCTGACATCTGCCTCTGGGCCTCATCTGCTCCCCAGTGATGGCTGGGGCAACACAGAGGAAGGTTTTCATTCTCAAGGCTCTTAGTGCAGTTAGCATGTGGTGCACAGCTTCAAGGGCTCCGGGCTGTGCAAACTAGCTCTCTCCTGCCCAGCCAATCGACCTAAGGATCCCCACATCACCTAAGAGGAAGTCCCAACTGGGCAGGGCACCTGGAGACCTGGGTCATGGGCAGGTCCTGCTGCTGGTATGACAGGCTATTTTCCATGGCAAGTGTTTTCCGCTTCCAGTTGCGAGCAGTGGCAGGCAAGAGTCCCCTGGGTAACACTTTCATAGTCTTCACCTGGACTAGAGAGGTCCTTTCTTTGCCAAGAATTTTCTAGAAAGCCAGAGAGGAAAGGCAGGCATACTCTGCCTCTCCACTGGGGTCTGGGGAGCAGGGCGGCAGAACAAAGCCCCTCACATTCCCATCCCCCAGCCCCAAGCCAAGGGTTGAGCAAGGATAGTTGATGACTCCATGCTCTGCCACTCTCCAGGTGACTCTGCGCAAGGTGTTGAATTCTTTAGCTCAACTTTCCTTTTCTATAGAATGGGAAGAATACCCATCTCACAGGATAGAGTAGTTGTGAGAATGAAATGGCATGAGGTGTGTGGAGCAGCAGGCAAGGTGCCTGACATTCAAGGGACAACGAATGGGCACTATCATTATTTACAGGGAGCGAGGGAGACAGGCATGACCCATGCATCCTCTCTGCCTCCTCCTGGGCTCGGCTCCAATGTGTCCTCTGCTGATCACAGAGCCCCCCAGCCCATCACTTTACTCGGAACCACTGGATAGCACACTGTGCATTTATGCGCTTCCTGTTGGCTGTCTCCTGTGTCCATCCTAAAGCTCCATGTGCTCGCCCTGTGCGTTGCTCAATCCACAATGCACCGAAGGCTACCTGGCAATGAGTATTTACATAAAGAAGGAATGAATAGAGGGACGGATAAATAAATAAATGACTGTGCCCTCACCATACAGACCAAGAAGCACAGGTGGGAGAAGTGAAGTCTCAGTTGGAGCACATACAGCGAGTGGACAGTGGCTCCAGCAGCATTAGCCCACCCCATGTGTGTCCTCCAAAGCCTTCCAGGTGCGTAGAAGCTGCTTCTCTCTCTGCCATGATCACCCCTGGCACTGGGAACACACTGGTGGTTGGGGGCAAGACTACATCACCTCCTCTGTGCCAGCCTGTTATGCCAGCCACACACAGGATGAGGTGAGAATCCGCTCATTTTATAGATTAGGAAATTCGGTCTCCAAGAGGCTAAGTGGCCTGCTCCCACAATGACAGCAAGGGTGCATCCCTCATTCCTAAGCCCCAACGTGGCAGGGGTGTCATGTAATCAACAAACGTTTGTCACTGGCTGTGCCAAGAATGTGCTAGGACCCTTCCGCTCTCTGCTCTACACAGCCGGGTAAACTGAAGCCAAGACAAGGCAAGCGACTTGCTGTCACCCAGGACTCCCCGCGTGTTTGCACAAATCTTAGCCGAGTTGATTTGTAAAACACCCAAACACTGCGGGCGCATGGCTGCAGGGGGAAAGGAAGCCAAGTAACACAGTAGGACCCAGCATCCGCGTCAGGGAGAGACCGGGGGGCTGGCGGAGTGGGGGCGGCGGTGTTTGTCACCGACTCTCCAATCCCAGTCCTAGAAGCAGGGTGGACTATCCCAGCTCGATCATCCCAGATTCCCCAGGCTCCTGCTAGGAGAAGTCCCTCAGCGCCGGCAGCGCTGACCCTGGTCCAGGGGTCCGCCCTTCCCGGTAATGTCAGGCCTTTCTCCTTGGCATAGATCGGCCTTGGGGTCTGCGAGGACTGAACCTCACTAGGCCTCTCTCTCCCACCCGCAAACATTCTCGAGTGTTATGCGGCTCAATGCCCCAAGGTGAGCAGGCGCCGCGTCTCCGCGGTGGCCGAGAGGGCAATGGCTGAGGAGTTCGTTTGGGACGAAGCAGTGGAGCAGGGGAACTGGGGAGCCTGGGCCGGGCCTCTCTGTGGGTCCCAGCGCAGCGCAGCCAGGCAGGCGTCGGGACCTAGGCGGCTTTGGATTCGGCGGGCGACCTCGCTTTGAAGCTGATCACCCGCTCAAGGTGATCACGACGTGCCGACCCAGTCTAGATTTTGAGTTCTGCAGAAAATGCAATTTTAAAGGAAAAGGACCCGCCTGCCCTTCTTCGGCAGTTCGTTTGGCCCAGGCCTTCGATCAGCTGAAAGTTTCCGATCTAGGGGGATGTCCAGGCTGCCGGCGGAGCAGAGCCGATAACCCCCCTCTCCTGCGCGTTCCCCTGAGACTTGGCCTCCGCAACCTGTCCCAGCCGCGGAGCAAACTGCTCTGCGGCCCGCGCGAGTGCGCCCCAGGGCTTCGCCGCTGCCGGGCGTCCCCTCCATCCACCTCGGGACCCGCGCCATCACCGCGGCGGGGTAAGAAGCTCGGAGGCGCCATCCCGGGGCTCTGCGCCGTCCGCTCTCCCGGCTCCTGGCCGCTCACGCACACAGCCGGTAGCTGGTTTTCGTTAGCCGCTGCCCTCGCCCAGAAGGCGGGTGGAAGGTCGCCAGTTGGACGCACAGCCAAACTCTTAGCGCACTCCCGCGCGAGATCCCCCATCACCCGGGGCTGCCGTCCTCATTTCGAGCTCTTTCTAGAGCTTGGCTCCCGCTGAAGCGCAACTTCCGCGCCCAAACCTTGCTTTTACGACGGGCGGTCCGCGTCCAAAGGTCTCTTACAGGCCTGCCCTTTCAGCTCCTCGCCCTCCCTTCCTCCCCTACCGGCCCCCTCCCCTGCTCTGGCCGCCCGCTGCAATCCTTTGGGGTCTGTGGCTGAGTGGGGAACCGCCGACCCGCGATCCGGAACGCGACTTTGAGGCCGCCGGGAGCATCCTGTGGCCTCTCTCTGCGCGGCCACCCGGCCGCGGCGCGAAGCGGTCTGGAGGGCGAGCCCTTCCGCGGCCCCAACTCTGCCGCCCCGTTCCCGGCATTGGGAACCAGGGCAGGGAGGGGGCGGGTGTTTCTCTGCGGGGGAGTGGGGAGGAAGCTGGGCGGGTGCGCGCGGTGCCCCGAGCCTGGAACCACGGAGGGCGCGTTGGTCTTGGGCGGATGGAGGGGGTGTCGCACTGCCGCGGGGAGGCGTGTCGGGAGGCTGGGGCCAGTGGCAGTCGCTTGGCGAGGGTGGGGGCGTAGCGCTGCGGTGGGAGGAGGCGGCTCCGGCCCTGGTCTCCACTCTAGGCCGGGGTGGGGGGCGCATAGCGGCCGCCGGAGCTTTCAGCAGGGGGCGCTGCTCCGGGCGTTGGGCGGGGGTGGGGTGGGCCAGGAGGGGGGGCCGCGGGCTGGCCGCGCACACTTCCCCCATTATTAAACACTATGTTCAAAAGGCGCCGGGGGACTTCCCGGAGCCACGGAGCCCGCGCCGCCCGCCCGCCCGGCCCACGGAGCCCATGGACCTGAGCGCCGCCGCCGCGCTGTGCCTTTGGCTGCTGAGCGCCTGCCGCCCCCGCGACGGGCTGGAAGCGGCCGCCGTGCTGCGAGCGGCGGGGGCTGGGCCGGTCCGGAGCCCAGGGGGCGGCGGCGGCGGCGGCGGCGGCGGGCGGACTCTTGCCCAGGCTGCGGGCGCCGCGGCTGTCCCGGCCGCCGCGGTTCCCCGGGCCCGCGCCGCGCGCCGCGCCGCGGGCTCCGGCTTCAGGAACGGCTCGGTGGTGCCGCACCACTTCATGATGTCGCTTTACCGGAGCCTGGCCGGGAGGGCTCCGGCCGGGGCAGCCGCTGTCTCCGCCTCGGGCCATGGTCGCGCGGACACGATCACCGGCTTCACAGACCAGGCGACCCAAGGTACTTACGCCTCTTCTGTGCCCGCCCATCCCGTCAGGTCCTGGGCTGAGACCAGCCCCGGAGCCGTGCCGCAGCTCCGTTACATTTGGAGCCGCGGCCCCATGCGGCCCACCCTCAGGTGATAGAAAGAAACTTCGCCGAGGCCAACACTCTCCAGCCCGCTGCACCTGGACTGTGGCGAGAGTCGCGGCAGCTCCCGGGGCCCAGTCCCAGAGGGCTGACTGGTCCCTCTCCCAGGTCTCCCTGGCCTTGCAGGCCGGCTGGTCCCCTCGAGGAGGCAGGCGGAGGCCAAGATTCGCTTCTTGGGGAATGGTCTGGAGTGGCCTCGGAGCCCTCAGAGAAGAAAGGAGGGCAAGAGCTGTGTTCCCGGGAGTCACGGCGAGAGGGACTGCACGGTGGTGAGGGTGATGGCTCCTTCCTTGCAGCAATTTCTGCAGCTCCCAGTCTCCTGCGGGCCACACAAATTGGGGGAAGCCCAGGGAAAACTAGGGCAGAGGCAGGTATCAGACTAAAGTAAATGGCCCTGGAGAGGCTGGTGGCATAACCAGGTATGAGGAGTGCCCTGCTCAGCAGGTTGGTCTGGGTGGTGGTGGTTTGTGTGTGTGTGACATGTGCAGCTATGGGTGCCTGTGTCTGGTGCTGGGCCCCTGGGAGAGCCAGAGGTCAAGGATCCTGGTGGTGTGGGGAGGAGAGGCCTGCTGGGGACCCTGCAGGAATGCAGGCCTCTCTTAGACTAAGCACCCCACCTTGTTCTGCCCTGGGCCTTCCAAAGGTAAGATGTAGGTGAGGCTGTGGTGTGGCTGCTGTATGTCATCTGGATTTTATTAATCTCCATTGAAATCATTAAAGCAGACAGATAGAGAAAATTTACCTAATTTCAGGCGGAAATGCAAGTAATTTCGGCCTTAATTCTATCCAGCCAGAGACCCAGCATGGAGGGCAGGAGGGAAAGAAAGGCGAATAGGGCTGGGAAGTGAGCGGGTGGGGCTGAGGCAGCCCTGCTTGGGAGCCACTGACAGTCAGCATACCTCAGGTCCTAGCCTGGGAAGGCAGGCAGAGGCCTTGCAAGTGACCAGGTCATCCATCCCTGCCAGCACATGCCCAGTGCCTAGCACAGACTGCCTTATTTTTGGTACCTGGAAATCTTGGTACCCAATCCCCAAATGGCCCTGTGGTTCGGTTAGAACTATCAAGCCTTCTCTGACGGCCTGACATGGCCCCTGGGCTGGATGCTGGGATACTTATAGGACGCCCTAGTTCTGGTGCACAGGGACAGGGACTGAAGGGTCCCAGGCTGCAGGAGAAGGGGGGTGTGCTGGGCTCTAAGTGGGCACAGGCACCAGAGTCTTCTTAAGGTTGAGCTAGTTCTACCATGGTCTCAGACAGGAGATAAATCCTTTCTGGGGAGCTCAGCTTGGCTGGCTGAGCCTGAGAGGCCTCCTCTCCCTCCTCCCTCTTGGGGGAAACAGAGTGGCAGGGCTGGTGAGCAGGGAGAGGCAGAGGATCTGCAGGGAATCTCAGAGAAAGTGCTCCTCGTGCAGCCCCAGTGTGCCTCTCCGGCCTCCCTCTCCACCCTGAGTCTCAACTTGGAACAGGGCTGCTTGAGGTCCCCAGAAGCCATTGATAGGGATAGAACCGGGACCTCAGGCATGAGGGCCTGACCTTCGTGGCTGGTGAGCAAATCCCCAGTGGTGGGGGGATTCTGCATAGTCTCTCCGAGTTTAGGGGCAAAACGAAACCATATGACCCCCTTCAAAGGGAGCTCCTTATCTGCTGCGTGGTGGAATTTTAAACTTTTTTTTTTTCTGAGCCCAAAAAGGAAAAAGAAAAAAGAGTGTCCACACTGGAAATAAAACCCCTAAGCCCGAGATAAGTCACTACAGAGGGAAGAATGAGCCCGCGAAGGGACAGACAGGCGGCTCCTGGAAGCGAGACCTCGTTTGGGACGCTGCCCTCACTGCAGCAAGGTCATTCCGGGATGCCCCGCACCCCTCCGGGAGGTTCCTTGTGTTCCTTTACTGCCTTTCCCCCTCCTTCGGAGGCCGCGAGAGCACCGGGAGGAGGTGCATTTGGGGTTGCGATCGCGAGCAGCAGCGCCCATTGTTGCAAGACCTGAGACCTTGGGCGAGCCTGGCCCCTACCTGGGCCTCAGTTCCCCTTCGGCAGAGCGAAGTTGGACTAGAAGGTCTCTGCGGCCGTGCAGACGAATTCTCCCGGACGAATCGCCGAGCCCCAGCCTGCATGGGAGACCGTGGCCAGCAGGGATGTCCAGGCTGGGTTGGGGGAACAGAGGTAGCAGAAGAGTTTTCAGGAGACCAGAATTTTCCGTTTTCGCACAGCCAGGACTTTCGGCTCTCTTGGGGGATCAGCAGGGCAATAACGATAAGTCTCCTTAAGGCCCAGGACCTCAGGAGGGGGTGCACGACTTCTTTTCAACCCAGCCCCGGACTCTGATCTCGGATTCTGGCCCGCGGCTCTGGGTCAGGCCGCGGAACTATAGCAGCCTGCAGTCCTGGTCTTGGGTGTAGGGGTGCGCTCCTGGTCCCGCGGCTCAGGGATATGCAGTGACCATGGGTTGTTGGCCTGATGGGACTTTTGGCTTGCTAAACCAAAGCTCGGTTCGGATATCCCGGGCGAAGACGTCCGCTGCTCTGGGCCAGGCTGGCAGCGTTCAGGCTGGGGCAGAGACGCGGAGTCGGGCGCTGGCTCCAACAGGCCTGGCTCCCACATCGAAGACAGCTGGGCCATTTGCTGTTAGGAGGCCCCGCGCTGACAGTGTGCAGGATTTGCTCTTACACAGCTCTTTCTCTCTGTCCCTGCCGGTCCCCCGCAGACGAATCGGCAGCCGAAACAGGCCAGAGCTTCCTGTTCGACGTGTCCAGCCTTAACGACGCAGACGAGGTGGTGGGTGCCGAGCTGCGCGTGCTGCGCCGGGGATCTCCAGAGTCGGGCCCAGGCAGCTGGACTTCTCCGCCGTTGCTGCTGCTGTCCACGTGCCCGGGCGCCGCCCGAGCGCCACGCCTGCTGTACTCGCGGGCAGCTGAGCCCCTAGTCGGTCAGCGCTGGGAGGCGTTCGACGTGGCGGACGCCATGAGGCGCCACCGTCGTGAACCGCGCCCCCCCCGCGCGTTCTGCCTCTTGCTGCGCGCAGTGGCAGGCCCGGTGCCGAGCCCGTTGGCACTGCGGCGGCTGGGCTTCGGCTGGCCGGGCGGAGGGGGCTCTGCGGCAGAGGAGCGCGCGGTGCTAGTCGTCTCCTCCCGCACGCAGAGGAAAGAGAGCTTATTCCGGGAGATCCGCGCCCAGGCCCGCGCGCTCGGGGCCGCTCTGGCCTCAGAGCCGCTGCCCGACCCAGGAACCGGCACCGCGTCGCCAAGGGCAGTCATTGGCGGCCGCAGACGGAGGAGGACGGCGTTGGCCGGGACGCGGACAGCGCAGGGCAGCGGCGGGGGCGCGGGCCGGGGCCACGGGCGCAGGGGCCGGAGCCGCTGCAGCCGCAAGCCGTTGCACGTGGACTTCAAGGAGCTCGGCTGGGACGACTGGATCATCGCGCCGCTGGACTACGAGGCGTACCACTGCGAGGGCCTTTGCGACTTCCCTTTGCGTTCGCACCTCGAGCCCACCAACCATGCCATCATTCAGACGCTGCTCAACTCCATGGCACCAGACGCGGCGCCGGCCTCCTGCTGTGTGCCAGCGCGCCTCAGCCCCATCAGCATCCTCTACATCGACGCCGCCAACAACGTTGTCTACAAGCAATACGAGGACATGGTGGTGGAGGCCTGCGGCTGCAGGTAGCGCGAGGGCCGGGGAGGGGGCAGCCACGCGGCCGAGGATCCCCAGCTGATGAGCAGCAGCGGGCCACCCTGTCACCGAGCGTGGGTGCATGTCCGATGTGACCCAGCACCCTCTCAGAGGAGGGAGAGCACACGTTCACACTCACACACACTCGTGCAGTCACGCACACATTTACCGGGGACAGCATGTGAAAGCCTTGGGAAGAGATGACCTGCCGGTACCGAATGTCAAAGCCCTGTGTATTTTGCAAACAGATAACCATGGCGCCCACTGCCCCCATTTAGGGAGAGGAAGGTGTTTGTGCTGATGTTGCAGTTAGAGGCACGAAAATCAGGTAGCAACAACGGGTTAGGAAATTCGAAGTTCCAGAATGGGAGAACCAAAGGGGTACTCGAGCATGCTTTATCTCACCCCCTTTTGTTTCTGGCCCGATGTGGGGCATCGCTTCCCTGGGGGGCTGAGCGCCGCGTGGTGCACTCCGTGACCCACTGCAAGGCTGTAATGCCCTTCCCGAGGGTTTGTGTTGCATGGGGCCGTTTACCCTGGAACTGCTGCAAAAAGCATCTTTCTTTTTTTAACTTTTAAAATTTAACGTGCCCCTGCTTCATTTTTGAAAGGGAAGTTTTGTCTGAAAGTAGCTGTTGTGGAGCTTCCCAGATTTCTGCAAAGGTCGGTACCGCCACCCCCCCCCCCCCCCCCGCCTTTTTTTTTTTTTTTTTTAATCAATTCCAATAGGAAATGTTATGGAAAGTGGAAAGGATATTTTTCTTTTAAACGGCTGAGTCTGATCTAACAGGATATTGGGGTGGGATAGGATCTGCCAGGTTCGGAAGCTCCCCAGTTGGTCAGGGGGAGGTGGGAGCCATGCCTCGGGTGGCTCAGGAGGAAGTTAGTGCAATGGCCCGGAATGGGGAAGGTGGGGCTGGGGGAGGGGAGCTACTGCTTTTCCTAGAGACCTGCCAGGAGGTTTTCCTAAGAAGCCAGGGAAGAGGCTCTCAGGGCTTGAAAGGCAAGGAGGTGTCCTGGGGCCCACTCCAGCCGAGGACTCCGGCTTGCCGGCCAGGTAGGCGGAAGCTCCCGGGGCCGACTCGGGCTTGTGCTAGTTATCAAGTAAGTCGGCCTCCGCTTTTTACCTGCTTTCGCTGTGTTGTTGCTGTAGTTGTTGGCAGTGTGATAGTAACGGGAAGTGAAGCCACTCAAAAATGCTTTTGTCAGACTTCAACTCACAACCCAGACCTTTAGAGCAGGGGGAAGGTCTGCCCCTTCCCCTCATCGGCTCCCTGGCTTGGCTGCTGTGCCCTTGGAAGGGCAGGGCCTTGGTGTGGGGGAGCAGAGGTGGAATATCCCCCAGTTCCCTTATTTGGCCCCAAAGGGTCTTATTGATGGGAGGATTTTCTAGGCATGTAAAAGTGAGTTCGAACATTCAGACTTCACTGTTTGATTTGATTTGTTTATGCCTGGGAATCCTTTGTGGCTTTTTGTCAATAGGCTGGGAGAGGGAACCTAGTTGGACTCCAGCTGTCCGGGGTGGGGGCTTCTTAGAACAGC
This sequence comes from Homo sapiens, assembly GCF_000001405.40. Lineage (NCBI taxonomy): Eukaryota > Metazoa > Chordata > Mammalia > Primates > Hominidae > Homo > Homo sapiens. Next base: position 20,672,974 of record NC_000002.12, read on the forward strand.
CCCGCAGCCCTCTCGGTGCATCTGTGTGATGTTGTGTAGGACTTTCCCCTTCAGAGTCCTGGGGAGCATTATTTCCACCCTGTGTTGGATGCAGGACAATTCATACACATTTTGATTCTCAGTGATTACACTCTTGAGAGAGAGAAGACAGACTTACGATTTAGATACAGCTAATTTACTTAGGGGCCCTACCTGAATCGGTTTTCATCCTGTAAAATTCTCCCAAAAGAAAAAAAAATACACGTGTAAATTACTCTTAAAATTAAGATTCCCCCCTTCCTCCTATTATGTGAATTTATATTCTGTGGCTGTATGAGTAGCTATAAATAACCAGAACATGAACAGTCTCTTCAGGTTAAAAATTTTAAAAATATCCAAAAGTGGCTGCTCTGGTACAATTCCATCTTATTTTAGTGACTGGGCAAAGATGGTCCCTAAATTTGTGGATTTTGCCAGAGATGCCTCACTCTCGTTTTTAAAATGAAGCTTGTCATAATGAAGAATTATATATTAAAAAAAGCACTGAAGTGTTGAAAGTTGTAGTATTAGAAGGTTTAGAAAGGAAGTTAATGACAAAGTGCAGTTAAATGTTATTTTGAGGAAGGTCTGGGGTATTTAATATCTTTGGATAAAAGCAAACATTTTGATACTTTTTTAGTGACTAGTAAAAACAATTTTTTGGGCAGAAATGTCTTGATTTAGCCTGGCCTTTTTATAGTAGGGAAAAAAACTGTCAATTTCCCCTCTTTCCTTCTGATGACCTCCTTCTAACGAGATGTGTTGTGAGTGGTGTGGGAAGTAGGTACCTTCCTGCATCTTGAGTTCAGGTGGCACCCGGTGGGAGGGGTGTTGTCCTTGGACAGTGACTGTTCCTTCCATGGCCCCATACCCTCAGTGTGCTCTTTGTTTACTGGATAAAAGGAATGCTTCCCAGATTTCCTCTGGAGCAGGTGAAGCCCCCAGGGGCCACTCTGCCCAGCCCTCTGGCATCTCAGTCCATTCACTAGGTGAATGCAGAGGATCCATTTCACTTGTAAAAATGACAACAAAGGGCCAACACATGTGGGGCAGACGGCTTTTTGCTGCTAAGATGTGGTTTAACTAGCATTGCCAAGGTGTGGAGAAAAGCGTTCTGCCAGCACAGTTGGTAGTAGCACCCTGAGCTCTCTGTCTTCTAGGTAGCGGGGGACAGGCCTGGGTGACTGGCATGAACCCAGCTTCTCTGTTGCAACCCCCAGCTGGAATCTCCAGTCACCATGGATGGGAGAACTGACAGGCAGGGAGAAAGCATGTCAAGACTGTGAGGAAAGGCTGTCCCCTCAACCCCAACCTGAGGTCACCAAAGTCTCCCTCCTAAAGTAAACAGAATTTTCCATTTTGTAGGGAGAATTGTGCACTACTAGTTGACATCACTTGAACCAGGATTTCCTGCTAGTGAGTAGGATTTGGCATCCCTACTTAGGGAGCTCGGGACAGGCCAGCTGGGGCCCAACGGGGGCTGGTGCTGGGTCTGTCAAACACAATGATAGCCTGGTCACTGCTGCTTGAAACCAGGGCTTTCGTATTAAGGAGGATCACCCACACTGGCAGGCGGGCATTTCCACTGATTCCCAAACACACTTGCCTTGTTGAATTCTGACTTTCCAAACAGCCGCACTGGGTCTTCCAGAGAAGGTGGCAGGCTTTGCTGTGTTAGCTTGGGGAAGCCAGGCTTGAGCTGTGCTCAGTCATTGTATCCATGCTCCCCTTCACCATACCCTCCTGGCAACGATATGAGGTGTGGATTGTGTGATAGAAGAATCCAGACTCCACGAAGCCAAGGACAGTCACTTCTCCCTGGCAGCTCTCATGGTGTCGGCAGGAGTGGGCGCCTCACCTTGGGTACTGAAGAGAGTACCGATAATCCCGTGGATGGAACAGGAGGGAGTGTAATTCAATCCCTACACATTGTATATGCTGTTGGCAATTTCATTTAAACTCACAGCAGAAAACAACCAGGATTTGTAGACTGATTTTCTTCTTAGAGCAGGGAGAAAAATTACGTTCTTTCCAAGAGCAGCTCGTGCACAGATAAGGTCAGACTTTTCCTGTGCTTGAATCTGGTCTCCAGGAAATCCAGTGGCAGGAAGAGAGTGTCCTGAGGCTGCCTCTGGGGGCACAGAATCACTGGGCCTCGCTGATTCTCATGAGAACCTGTCATCTCAGTGAGACAGGCCTCCCACTGGCCCTCAGTGGGCCATAGGCCAAGAGGTCTGAGTCAGATCGCGCAGTGAGCTGGAGGGAGCGAGGCTCTGAAAGCAGCAGTCTAGCAGAGGGAGTTTGGGCCTGCGCTTACCCCTCAGAAAGTGTCTGGATTGGGAAGGGAAGAGAGGAAGCTGCCGAGCGAACCCAGCAGCCAAACTTTGGGTGAGTGGAAAGTAACTAGATCCCTCTGGTGGATGGTATATTTGAGCTGCACCAGAGTCAGAGCCCACTGTGGGCTTCCGAGTGCCCAGAGGCAGCTGCTCCCACAGCACGGACTGCGCCCGCCAGGGGAGGCCGCTCAGGGGCCAGGGCACCACAAGGCGTCTCCTGAGAGACGTCTGAGGCAAGTTATGGGCAGTCACCTCCCTGCTGGAGCTTCATCTTCTGCCCTGTAAAATGATGCCCTTTCCAGTTCCAAGGTTCTAGGATTTTACCTTGCCTCAAAACCCACTCAGATAGCTTGAAGGCAGAGCAAATGTGATGGCTCCTGGAGAAGGTCCTCTCCCAATCCCAGTCCCAGAGCCTCATCTTACCGGTTTCGCAGCTCTTGCCTGTGCATGTGCATGTGTGTGCGTGTGTCCATTTTACTCCTATCCTTAATAGGTGCCTCATGGATGTGCTTTGAATTCCCCTGGGCTGAGGTAGGTGTGGGGAGGGCCCGCACCTTGAGGGTGGGGTTCAGCTCCCCAGAGCCAGGAGCTGGCTGAGGGCACTGCCCATCCAGCTGCAGTTCCTCCTGTGCTCAGTGGGGTGGGCGGAGCCACACTCAAGCTGAGACTGTCTGAGAGACCTAGTGCTGGGAAGGGCTCTACCTGCTGCTGGGGCCTCTGCAGGCAGAAGGGTAAAGGCAAGGCTGTGCCTGGTTGGTCACCCAAACGGGGGCCTGGGACTGTCCCAGAAGCCCTGGATGAGGCAGGCAGGACTGTCCCAGAATGGACTCCTTGGGTCCTCACCCCCTCCTCACCACCATGCCCATGTCTGGCTCTGAGGTCCCCTTGCAGCTTCCCAGGGGAGTGACCCTGGGGTAGCATCAGAAGAGCTTGTCTCTCTCTTCCTTTTTGTGGTCTGGAGAAGTTAACATAAAGAAGCACCAGAAGGGAGGACCCAAAAAGATGTTTATTTCTAAGTTTTCAGACAGCTTGGCATCTTGTACCTGGAACCTCCTGACCATGTAGGCTGCAGCACAGCTGTCTTCCTCCCTCTGTGCTGTTCTGGACTTTAATCTGTGTGCACAGCTTAGTGCGTCACAAATAGTAACTGAGTGAGGCTGTTGTGAAAGAAGCCTGTTTTTTTCAGGAGGGCCACCGTCCTAGCCTGAGGAGACACCTGGTGGACACAGACTGCAGGGAGAGGGCTGAAAGTTGGCCTAGTGAATCAGAGGGGTGACTGAGGGCCTAGAAGTTGCCGCGTGAGCTCTGATCATCATTAGGGGTGCTGTCTGCCCATGACCTGCAGGTACCCACCTTAACCAGAGCTTGGCTTGTGGCCTGCAACTTGGCGACAGGCCTTTGGCTGGGCAAAGTTTGGGCTGGTGCTTCATGGCGGCAGGACCAATTACAGCAGAGCAACCCAGGATGGGTGGTCATTGAAAAATGGGTGTGAAGTCACTGAAAAATCAGACTGAGTTTCAAGTTATGCTCACAGTTGCTGAAAAAGCAAAAATATGCCCTTAGAGCAGCAGAGCAGCGTGCGATGGTCCACTTCCTCCTGCCTCTGCAGAGCTTGCAGGCCTCTTCTAGCATCTGTGCATGGTGCGCATGTGTCTGTGACAACAGAAAGGGTGGGTTTCTCTCACACGTTTCCCTGACAGTGGCAAGGGGGCTGCAGCGGTCACAGAAACTTCCGGAGAGAGGTGTTTCTGTGCAGTCAGGTGAATTTGTTGGCAGGACAGCTTGGTGTGATGATACAAGAAGTACAGTTTCACTCTTTTTTTGTCAGATGAACTTCCTTCTGCTAGTTTAGAAATGCTTCACTCCAGAGAGGGCCACCTGATAGAAGCTGTATTACAGAAACTTTTAATCTCTTTTCTATGTCAGTAAGGGGATGCTGAAATAAACTGTCTAGAAAAACAAGAAGCTTCTGTCACACCCAGGCCACTTTCGGCAGAGTGGTCCAGAGCGGCCAGGGCACGGCCAGCTGCTTTGCATCTGCATTCCCGTTTCATTACCTTTTGTGTTGTGGGCCAACAGGAGTGCTACGTAGTGGGGGCTGGAGATTTGTCCAGGCAGGAGGTGGGCAAGTGGCTGTCTTCTCTGCAGAATACCTGCACTGCTCCATCTGACCAGCAGTGGCAACAGCCACAACCAGTTCTGCATCTAGCTCCTGCCCAGACCTTTGGCTGCCAGAATCTAGAACCATGGCTGACCAAAGCGAGACTTCCGAGTAAGGTTCGTTAACAGGCATCCTGCTGAATTAGAAGGAAACAGGAACGAATCCAAAGCAAACGGGGCTAAACTTCCCTCGAGGACATTTCCTGAGCTGCAACATGGGAAGCGACAGCACCGAAGCTGGTGAGCTGGTGCAACTGCACACACCTTTTCTCTGGTTTTTAGTACTCACAGGTCATCCTGGGGAGACCGCTCATGGGCTATGGGCAGCCCATGCCTGGATTTTTTGGTGAATGAGTCTGAAAAGCAGTGACCAGGTGTGTTGAGGGCCTCCCCTTGCCTGCACCTTTTTATCTCTGAGTGACTGAGGGCTGCCAAGGCCAGACAACGCACATGTGTCCTGGATCCTCCCCTGGCCTGGGGCAGCAGCAGCAGCAGCAGCTGGGCTTGGGGTGAGTAGGCTGGCTTGAGGAAGGGGCTGCCCACAAGCAGGGCTCATTTCCTGGGTCAGGGCCTGTCAGACTCAAAGTCAGCTCTTCAGCATTCTGTTTAGAAAATGATGATGCAGTTCAGTGAGAAAGAAAGCTCAGGATAAAATATGTTTTCTGGAGGGGAAATACTCAAGTGTTCTAAGCCAGGAACAGAGACTCTCAAGAGAGGAATTCTCTGGCATTCTCTGCCTTGGATAAATCATGGATTAAACATGAGCATCCTTAGAATAATTTTATTTTTGTATTTCACTTTACACTGTAATGCAAACAGCTTTTATGTTTTCTTTGACGAAGAATCATAATTGAGTCACTTTAGGTCTTTTAGCTGGAAGCATTTCACCCTAAATGAAAAGTTAATGCATTTTTTACAAGGATTAACATGCTAACTACAACTTGCCCTTTCAGCAGATGACAATAAGGGATTCTGAAAAGTTTGGACTGTCTTTTTCTTTTTGTATACAAATAAAGCAGCAGATCCTTTCTCTGTGAAGGTTGTTGCAGAGCTCCCGTACCAGCTTATAAAATGCGGCTGTTTAAGCAGGACTTGGGTGGGCAGCAGAATTCTGCACATGACGAGTGGCTGCAGCTTAGAAAGCAAATTTCATCTGATTCCAGTACTGTGATTTTAAGGAAACGGTAAAACTCAAAGTGCCAGTAATGCCATCAAGGCTCAGTAACATGCCATTTCCTCAGCAGCTAAAGACAAAAAGAATTATTTTGGTGAGGGGATAGAAATCCTTTCGCTTTGCAGTGACACCCACTTTTTCTTAGCTTGGCTTGGGAGTAAGGAGATTGGAGTGTGGGGGGACATTAGAAACTCATTTAAGGCAAACTGAAATCTCCTTCATCAGCAGTCTTCCTGCTGGTGTAGCCACAGCAGAACTCCGAGGCTTGCAGGCTGGGCTGTCTCCTTGCTGCCTGGCTTGGGTGTTTATTTGGGCAATGCAAGCTGACATTGTGAGGTGTTGCCGATGCCCAGGCCAGCTAGCAGGGAGCCCTCCCAGGGCTGGTAGAAACCTATGTGTATATATATTCTCAAATTTAAATAGATTGTACATAGTGAAATGTAAATGACATGTAAAACAGCAATCTCTATTTTTCTTAACTATTATATAGCAGTATATATTTGTTGAACATGCTTGTATACTCTTCATTAACCATTTTAATATTTTGTACAGATAAGTTGATTAAATATTTTATTCATAAAACCGCTCATGACTGGTCTCTAAAGGAAAACATTTTCAGCTTTTGTTACTCAGCCTTTCTGTGTTACTGTAGTCCTCATTAATAGAATAGCGACCAGCTATTGAGGCCTTAGGACTGACTGCATTTTAATAGTGAGAGTGACATAACAGGCCTGACTCCACTTGCCTTTGTGCCGATCATTCCCCTGTATTGTCAGATCAGGTGTGAGGCTGTGGGCCTCTGGTATGGGGGGCTGCACCCTGGGTCTTGGTGACTGGTATGAAACTGTATATGATGCTGCTGCACACAGCCTCACACGGCATGAAGTCACTGCAGAGCAAGGTAAAAAACATCAAGCTTGGGTTCAGGAAAGGAGGCCAAAATGCAGTGGAAAACATTTTCTCTTTGGGAAATGAGCATGATAATGTGTAGAGTGAGCACTGTCATTCCAAATGCAGTTTGGGTGGACAGGTTTTCTGTGTTTATACATCTCAGACTGCTGCAGGACCTGTCTCACTCCAGAAAGCATGAGCCCTCCCCACCTGGAGGATGCACAGGTAAGTCTCTGAAATCCCAAGGCATAAAGTCCCATGGAAGCCGCTTCCTCTGCAAGGCCAATTACATACGTCACAGAACCCAATAAGGTCCTACAGCAAATTCGACAGGCCTTTTTTTTTGCCCAGTACTCTTCGAGACAAGTACAAAAGCCTGTGCTTGGTGACACCACGAAGGATGCAGCAGGACAGGATCAACCACACAGCGTTCTGTTGCTATCCCAGCTCTCACAGCTGACTTTTGCCCAGATGGAGAAATCTATTTCATGTGTTCCTTAAATATTTCTGGGAGAGGACTAATGACAGAGCAGGAATTGTAGGAAGTTGACAGGGACTTGGCCTTATTAGTGACTGTTACCAGGATTACCTCTTTTGCGATATGAAGCCTGCTGGAGTGACCCACATTTTCGTCAGTGATGGCAGCCCATGTTCATGGTGAATTCAATATCCCAGTTTGTTAATGCAGGTCCCTGTGGTTATGTAACTTTCTCTCTCTGGTGAAAGATCAAGAAAGCCTGCCTTCTTTTCACCACTCGATTTCCTATTATAAATAAAGGAGTCTCTTCTTTGGAAGAGAAATTGTGTTCCCTTTCCAACTAACTCATTTGGCAGGTACAATCAATGTGTAAGTTCTATGACCCTGCCATCGAAAACTGGAATGTCTTGTCATGCTTTGTTTATAAGCATCTTTGGTCCATTTTTCATTTTCTTATTTTTCAGTCTCCATTTGACCTACCACAGCATTCTGTGGTTAGAGTACACATTCAGTAGAGGAGTAGTTACAGGGAGAAAGGAAAGTCGGGAGTGGCATTAAAAATTTTATCCAATTTCCCAGACACTGATAAGAGCAAATCTAAAAGGCCCGTCCATGACTAATGGTAAAGGCGGCTAAGATTGACTTCTCCACTCCTTCCCTGGTCCTGTCAGGTCCTGGATCTGCCTCTGATGCCTGCTCATTTCCAAGCAGGCCAAGGCAAAGATGCCTCCAACTGCTGTTCCATTGAGGGTGGTGCCCAACGTGGTCATGGATGCATGTGCTCTTGTGTCCTAGGAACCCTGTGACTCATCTGCTCAGAAAGGACAATGATCTGGGGAGAAACTTGTCCACTGTGAGGTGCCACCAGCATGCAGCCCTATAGGCTGTGGGTGTCTGCCGAGTCCTAATCACATGCAGGTGCGTGGCCCTTCACAGTGGCCAGTAGGAGGAAGCCCAGATGTTCTGCAGAGCCTGAGCTGGATGGATTTGCAGAGGCGGGATTCTAGTCCCTCTGTGAGGGAGGGAGACCCTGCAGGTGCACCGCACCCCCTGGCTGTAATGGACGCCCAGTCACAGGGTCACATTCTCATCCCAGGGAAGAGGAATTTTCCCATAGACTTACCCAGCAAGGAAATCTGTCCCAATGTGGGGAGGTCAGCACAGGCCCCTTTGCCAGAATGTTTGAGGAATGCAACACAAAATGAAAATGCTCGATTATCCCAGAGCACAGTCATGTGTATTGTTGCTGTAATTCCCACTCGGGGTGCTGCGCGGGGTTAGTGCTCAGCAAATAATAAACTACATATTTGGTAGTTGCTAATACCCAAACTCCAGAGGTTTTCTAATTGTAGAAGAATGGAAGTAACAGTTGCAGCCATATCAGACAAGATGAATGGGACACAAGGGATAGTGGCCTTGCTTCCTTGCAGTCCCCCAGTGCCAGACACAAACAGTCTGCAAAGATTCAGACATCCTTGAATCTATCTGACCCAGTTGTGCACAGCTCTGCTGGGGAAACACTTAAGGGATAAAAGAGCAAGTGTCCATGTCTGCACTCCCACTGATGTGTCAGTTTTAAGATGAAGAAGCCCAGAGATGTGATTTCCTGGTAGTCCGACCCAATGTGAGAATTGCACTTTTTCACAGCTTGCCTATTAGGTATGGTAGAAACTTTTTATTAATTTAGATAACAAAATTTATAGACTACCCTGTGTAGCAGGCCATATTTGATATGCCCTGACAGCACAGAGATGACTAAGACAGAAGGTCATCTTCTAGGACTCTCCTGAGAGAAGGGGTGTTGGTGGAGGCAGGGAGGAGCAGACTGCAGAGACACAATCCCGCAGCAATGATAAGTCATTCAGTAGACACAGGCCAGGCCAGGGGTCATGAAGACTGGCAGGGCATGGAAGGGTGGGAAGGACCGCTCTGGGAGGCAGGAGCAGTTGGTATTTTAGGCCACGTCTCATGGGGTGGGGTAGAGGATGGGCGTAATCAAAGCTGGAGCAGTGATTCCTGTACAGAGGAGTCCACAGGAAGCTCCCGTGCGTGGCATAAGACCAGGTGGCTATGGAAGAGTTGCAGAGGTGCCGGCCATGTGGCTGCAGCCACAGCACTGACTCCCAGCATGTGGGCTTGCTTTCTCTCAATCCACTGCCTGATGCATATTTTTGCCGTCTGAAAACTGGTCTCTGTTATAGCTTTCATTCTTTTAAAACTACTCATTTGTTACCAACGATCTACTCGTCACTTCTTCTGTCAATCGGGTCCTCATTTGCCCTTTGCGTGACTCTCTTTCCCGGCTCTCCACTTTTGCTAGGCTTGCCCACTGTGGCCTCCAGGAGGCAGCATGATGCAGTGGAAAAAGGGGATGAAGTGGTGGCTCTGGAGTAGAGGCCTGAATTGGAATCTGGCTTAGTTCATTTTCTGTTGCTATAATGGAATATCAGAGACTGGGTAATTTATAAAGAAGAGATTTATTTCTTACAGTTCTGGAGGCTGGAAAGTCCAAGATTGAGGGGCTGGCATCTGGTGAGGACCTTTGTGCTACATCCTCCCTGGCAAAAGGTGGAAGGGCAAGAGAGCATGAGAGAACAAGAGATCAAACTTGCAGCCTAATATTGTGGCTTTTTATCACTGGCATTAATCCATTCAGGAAGGAAGGGCCCTCATGACTCAGACACTTCCTGTTAGGACCCACCTCCCAATAGTTGCATTGGGGATTAAGTCTCTAACACACGAACTTTGGAGGACATGTGCAACTACAGGAGAACCCCAGCTCTGTCATCTATTAACTGTGAGGTCCTTAGCAAGGCACCTCAGTGGTAATCTGTATAATGGGCATAGTCAGAACATCACAGGATTGGGAGGCCTAAGTGAGACACTGTGAAGGTGCTGGGGTGAGCAGCATACTCCTTATCTGGATTAGCTCTCATCTATTCCAAACCACCTATCCAAGTTCTACCTGCCCTTCTAGGACTAGGGGCAACCTCATCCTCTTCTCTCTTCCAAGAGCTTTGTCTTTATAGAACCCTTTATAGAACCATAGAACCACCCAGAGCTTTCTTTGACCCTCGTTCGTGCTCTGAGGATGCTCACCCAGCATCACACTCAGTGACGCCGGTCTTGCTCTAGAGATGCCTTCAGCCTGGTGGGAGAGGCCAGACCCATGTCCCACAGACACTCCTCACCTGGGCCAATGTGATCACTTACCCATGTCTGTATGGGGCACAGGCAGGAATCTCAATCCTCTTAAAAAGTGATTAGAAGAACACTCATATGAGCTTTGCTGTCCTCAGCACTCCTGCAGAAGAGCTTCATTCAAGGTCCCACAGATGTATTTGTTCACAGAGCACACTCAGTCCCAGCCTCCAACCTCTCCTTAAGGCCCACCCCTAAGGGAAGGAGCAGCCCAAATATATCCTTGCCTCTTCTCTTCTGCAAGAGAAGGCCAGGGATGAAGATGTCTCAAGCCATCTAAGAAATGCTTTGCTTCCCGCATCTTTTCTAAATCGACTGTTAGAACATCCTGGGCTGTGTGCAGGGAGGCCTGAATGGGCTGAGGCCAGAAAGCTGAGCCAGGTGAGCAAGTGTTATCCCTGCGTAAGAGCCAAAATGCTGACTGCTAGAATCAAGTTACAAGCCTGGTGAAACAGTGCAGGGACTGAGATACCACAGGGTCCTCTGCTACACTAAAGAGAAGAGAAATGAAAGGAAAAAAGGAAAAACAAGTTTGCTATCCTCCTTTAGGTACCATTTTATAGAGAATCCACCATATGCCAGGCAACATACTAAATGCTATATGCATGACCTCATTTTATCTCCATTAAAAAAAAAATGAGGAGCTGGGGGACTCAGGGAGGTGAAGTGAAGTCTTATGTCACAAACCTAACAAATGACAGATCTGGGATTTGAACCCAGGTCTTCATTTACTGCGTACAAGAGGAAATAGCCTTTTTGGAAAAGAAGCAATGAGACACGGATGCAGGAGATAGCATGGTGGGGTTTTAAAAATAATTATTTTTACAAATTCTAAAACATCTCAAACTTCCAAAAAATCTGCAAGTACAAAGAACATTATTTTCCCCTCAACCATCTGACAGTAAACAGACATGATGCCCCTCACCCCCAGATACCTCAGTGTCTCCAGTACAAACAAGGACACTCTCTTACTTCTTCCCAGTACAACCACTGAAATCAGAAAATTAACAGTGGCATCTTACTCCCAGCTAATCTTCAGACCTCATTCAAGTTGTGCAAATTGTCTCAACAATGTCTTTTATAACAAAAACATCCAATTCAGAATCAGATGTTGTGTCCAATTGTCATGTCTCTTCAGTCTCCTTTAATCTGAAATTGCTTTTTTTTTTTGCTCTTTTTTAAAAATTATTTTAGACACGAGGTCTCGTTTTTTGCACGGGCTGGTCTCAAACTCCTAGCCTCAAACGATCTTCCCAGCTCATCCTCCCAAGGTGCTGGGATCACAGGTGTGAGCTACGGCACCCAGCCTGTTTGTTTTGAATATAATGTAGGATGAAGAAAAATCAAGCCTTTGGTGGTCCGTGTCTCTCCAAAGGTTGAGTGGAGAAGCGTATGGTGAGAGGCCCTTGGTGGCCATGGACATCAGGCCACACAAGCCACAGAGGGCTTGTGGAGATGCTTATGGCTGGGAACAGACTAGGAACAAACACGGGTGTGGTCAAAGCTCAATCGCTGAGCACTCGGTAACTCTGCAGGAAGTTAAAACTTTCACAAAGACCATCCATGTGGTTGACTGGGACATACAGGCAGAGCTGCTTCTGGAAAATGGATTTCTTCCACTGTTTGTCCATTTTAGTCTAATCCCTAATGAAACAGAATGAACTTCAGTCTCTTGAAATCTGATTCTTCCACCTATGAAAAAAGCAATGAGAAAGGTGGCTTTTCACTTTAAAAGAGAGACTTTGAGCCGAGTCTAACTCAGGAGAACTGCTCAAATTGTACCCTCTCTTGCCCAACACAGAGATCAGGCCAGACCAGGTCAGAAATGCTGGTAAAACATTTATTTCAAAAATTCATTTGGTTTTCAGATGATAAATAGGAATTAAGAATGAGTATCTTTCTTAGGCTCTAAAAACCAGAAATAAGACACAATTTCATACGTGCAGACTTTTGAAATATGGAGTAACATTTAAAATAACAGATAAAAGAAAAGCTCTGAATGTTACTCTTTATTCTGGTAGGTATGATTTACCCAGTATTGTTTACATGCCTTGATTTAGTATCAGTGAGTATCTCCTGTATGCAAGGCGCTCAGAGCCATGATTCCTAGCTTCTAACATCCGATTTCTAGGCCTCTCATGCAGATGCCAATAAAGGATCTGTGTACAGCCCTGTGCTTACGGCCTATGTATCTATTAGCTCTTCCCCTTGGGCTAACAGCACTCCTTGTCTGGAGCTTGGCTTTTCCCCTCTGAGAAGTCACTTGCTGTGATGTAGAAGCTATGCCAAAGCACAGTAACTCATTCAGCACTTACCAATAAGTTGGCAGCAAATCAGAGCCAAATCTTTCATCAGGGGGCTTTAGGATTTGAGCGGAGGGACATCTCATTGTCCTTAGGGAATGATAATGCCATGAGGGATTTCCTCTAGGAGAAAAAGGAATATTTCTGATCCATGATCAACTGTCACTGCAGTATGTGGTTCTCAAGATTGAGTCAATTTAGGGGAGGCAGCAATATTGTCAGCCCACTCTAGGCCAGGGAATATGTGTCTTCTCTGCCATACCTCAATGTGTCTAGAGAAGGTGAATTCACATAACTTAATGGCTGGGTTTGGTTCATTAACAAAATAATTTCTTTCCAGCAAATGAAGTTAATGCAGAAATGGAGAGTTAATGTATGGCAATGTTTTACTGAGCAGTTTAAAAGAAGCTTTTAAAAATTATTCACTAGAAGATTTCCAGAAGAAAAGAATCATTAAGTAGCTAAGAACTCCATCCTCAATGGCTAGCACACTATTTGGCTCATTGATGGTCTTTAATGGAGTTTTAGTGCAAGAATTACAGAAGGAGCAACTGTACGTTGGCACATCCAAGCCTGCTTTGGGACAGCCCAGTGCCTCTCCATCCTGGCTCTGGAGAGGAGGAGCCTGCAGGGAGCTTATAACCTGGGAGGCTAAGGCTCAGCATAGAACTTGCTGGTTGTCCTGTGGCAGGAGGCACAGTTGGGGTCCTTCAACAATTCTTTATCTGGTTAGCTGACCAGAGTAATGTCTGGTGAACTTTATTCTCTGTCTAGTGCAGGTACATTAGACGTCACATTGATGATCTCAGCCAAGATCTGTGCTAAGTTAGCCTGGGCTCATCTTCATCTTCTGTCTTACAGGAGACCCAGGTTCACTTCCTGCTCCTGGAACATGAGTGTATCCTTGTCATAATCTCATACACTTCACATATCTAACTATACTCTTAACATTCACTGATTTATTTTACATTTTCTAGTAGGTATTTCATAATTTCCTCCAGAGGAGCCTATTCTACAATGTAACTCAATTAAAATCAAGTACATGTAGATTTTTTTTTCATCTGCAAAGATCCTGCCTACCAAAATAAACCATATGGTGCCACTGGGCATCTTGTGCAAACACAAGACTCTGTGTAGATCACTGTGTTCCCTGAGTCTTGGAAAATGTATGGTTAAACCTATGGAATGATTCATCAACTGTGTTTACTTCAGCCTATAACATGGCGAGCGGAGAGTTGGTTTGTAAGACAAAGGTTCTCACTTTCTTCATTTCTAATATCAGTCTTCAAAATTAAACATTTACCTACTAAGTCTAGTACACTGACTGCCTCCATGTACTGGCAGTGGGGGCTTGTTCCTCAGGCCAATTTACATTTTGGACAAGTCATCCTTTAGGGAGTCAGCAATCATGTCTGCCATTTCCTGGTTAAAATGGGTGATGAAAGCATGAGGTATGTTTTTCTCACAGAGTCGAATGTCTCCTTCTGGAAAATCCTTCTTAATGTCTTCATAGTACTCTTTTGGACACCAAGGATCTATAGTACCATAATAAAATGTAAGCTGAAAGACAAGACAAAAACCTTTTATTAGAAAACACGTTCCCTTCCTGACACAGATATGACACCAGCAGCCGGCAGTGCTCTGAGGACAGCACCTACGCCTGACCCTGGGAGCTAGTCCCTAAGCTCTCTCCAGAGTGTGGCTCTCTCAAGGCAGCAAGGCTTCACGATGTACAGGAGTGCACTTAGAAGAATTTGGTGGGAAGATCCCCATGCTGGGAGACTCTTGTGTGATAGATCACTCATAATTCACTGAAACGACTTACCAGGAAAGTTTTGTGTACTAAGGTTGGGATGGACACTGGAATGAAGGCCGGTGAGGATGACGAAGACAGTTATTGAGACATAGTCACTGAATGACTAGTGACCAGTTAATAAACTTAGTTGTTTCCAAATAGCCACATGGTAGTCATATGGGATGTATTTGTTGAATGAATACAAACACAGATCAGATAGACTCAGGCTTTCCAATGTAGCTGATGAAATGTGATCAGAATCCTGAGAGAGTTTATGACCTTTCTAAGAAAAGGCTCTATGCAGCCTGTATGTTGATTCAGTGGGGAAGTGCAATAATCATACTTCAATTGACAGCAAGCAGCTGAATGGAGACAGAGCCTCCTCTGTGGCATTACTAAGACCCTGAATGGATATCTACCTAAACCTGCATGTGATATATATGTATATTGCTCTAGGCTGCTGTGTTTCACTGAAAAACTGCTATGTTCTAGTTCTGTTAGTTCTAAAAATAAAGGCAACAAAGCAACATCTTATATTCAGAAGAACAGATAGTGGCAATTTCTACAAAAACCAAGAACTAAATCTTAAGGATCCTTTGACCTCTGTTATCACTGAAAGACAGAGCTATGCCTAGCTCCAGCCCCTAGTTGGCCAGCTGTAGTCACTTGCAGCTTCCCTAATATACCAAATGTGCTCCTTCATTCAGACACTGAATTGCTTACTCATTCCTTTGTTCATCAAATACAAATGGAGCACCTACTTTGTATTAGGAACCTGGAAAATAGAGATAAGACAGTCTTGGGGGGAGGGGAGAAGGGGACCCCATGTATACAAGACAATTTGAGAGCTCAGGTGAGGTGCAGCTGGTCAGAAGTAGTAGGCAGGAAAGATTCCCCAGAGTTGATGCCTCAGTTGAGTCTTCAAGCTGGGGCAGCACACTGTGGGGAGAAGACCAAGCAAACCAAAGCTTGAAAGAGCATGGCATGTGTGGGGAACTGGAATTCCACATGGCTGGAATATAGGGTGGTGGGAGATAAGACTGGAGAGGCAGAGAGGGATGAGGTCATGGACAGCATCTTCTATGCATGCCAAGGAGGTTGCGCTTTATCCCGAAGTCCACAAGGCAAAAAAGACTGCACAGTGAAGTGACATGCTGAGGTCCCTATGTCAGGAAAACCACTCTGGCCACAACGAGAAGAAGGATTGGAGGTGATCAAGTGCTGGGGGAGGAGAGTGCAGGGAAGCAGGCGTTATTGCTCACTGGATAGTTTGAGTGTATCAATTATTAAATCCATGACCTGAATATGGGACAGATGAGACTGATCTTACGAAAACAATGGCCTTCATTACAATAACATGATGCCTTAACCAATATTTAGATGGTTAGTTAAAAACACTTTATAGAGGAAAAAATTTAACATAGTACTCCAGAGAGTAAATTATGAACAAGTAAACCTCAAGTGGCAGACTTACTCTGAATTGCTTCATGGAGGTTTCCTTTTTTTTTTTTTTTTTTTTTTTTTAATTATACTTCAAATTCTGGGACATGTGCAGAGTGTGCAGGTTTGTTACATAGGTATACACGTGCCACGGTGGTTTGCTGTACCCATCAACCCGTCATCTACATTAGGTATTTCTCCTAATGCTATCCCTCCCCTACCCCCCATCCCCTAACAGGCCCCGGTGTGTGATGTTCCCCTCCCTGTGTCCATGTGTTCTCATTGTTCAACTCCCACTTATGAGTGAGAACATGCCATGTCTGGTTTTCTGTTCCTGTGTCAGTTTGCTGAGAATGATGGTTTCCAGCTTCATCCATGTCCCTGCAAAGGACATGAACTCATCCTTTTTTATGACTGCATAGTATTCCAGCTTCATGGAGGTTTTCTTGGTTGTTACCTGGGGTTCCAGTTTTGCACGCTGCAGAGGACCTGCAACTTACAGATTTATCACTTAATTCATTCTTTGCATTCTCCTACTTTTCCTCACTCCAACCATTTCTGGGCATTCCAAAGCCCCTAAAGCCAGAATTCATTTTGCCATGGTTCTTAGCAGAGTAAGAACTTCTTTTGCTTCCTAGAGAATATGAGAGCCTAGCAGTTGCCTAGTTCTTCCTCCTGGTCTCAGCTCTTTCTGTAGCTCTAAAATGCTGCAACCTCACAACCAGTGGGAGACTATTCTTTCCACTAGTAGAAAAACACGTTTCCCCGGATCTCTCAGCAACTACCCTGCTATAGCTTTGCCTTGAAATACTGTCAAGAGTACAAACTATTTGCAGGTATTAATTATCTACCAATAGTGCTGATAACATTAGGCTCTCTCTAAGCTACTCCCTATATTTACCACCAGCAATCTTTTCGATTGTATTCAGGGAATAGGATAGGGAACAGTCGCTATGCAGTTACTCAGCACTTCCTCAGAGCAGGGAACACTGCTGAGAAATCTGGAAAGTCAGACTTGGGTTCATACCTGTCAGGTCTGTTCCTCTGCTGCAGGGCATGCTCTCGCCTCAAGATCACTGGACCCTGAGAAAGCTACTCTAGGACCCTCACTCCAGTACAAGCTACAGTGTGAAGTCCTATGATAATGGCAGTCAGCTCAAAGGAAAGCCAGACAGAAAAGACCTCATCTAATACAGTTTCCTCAACAAGAAAAGCGTCACTGTACGCACCGCTGTTGCTTTCTGTCTGACATTTCAAAGACTGTTTCCATGAAGAACGTACCATTTACTTTTCTGTGATGCAATTACAACTTGAAATGTTTCCAATGAGAAGTCCAGCTTGATAAGCCCTCAGCACTGAGCAAACACCATCCCCGTACATGCAGTTAAGGCAGTGATTTGAGCAGGGGTGATCAACATGGATTAAGGGACCCGACACCCACCTCAGGGTATCAAGAGACAAATATGTCCAAGTAATTATGGGGCACACACTGTCCAAGGCATGTGCTAGGAACCTCAACAAAGAGTGGTGTCAGTGTTCAAGACAGCAGAACAGTGAGGAGTCTAGACCTCCCGTATGCTTATCTGATTTTATTTCTCGATTCTCTACAATCCTTAAACGTTTGAAGTGGGCCCCATTTGGTTAAACGCCTAACTGATGATGGGGGTGGGCTCACGTTTTGTAAAATTTTGTTTTCTTTTACAAGTTCTTTTTCAGGCTATATATTCTCTAAAGGGCTTCCTATGAAAGTCTTGGCTTACAAGTAAAACACATGGTTATCTAATGCCTTTACATACACTGGCTTGAGATACTTCCTTTTCCCTATAAATTATAAATCACAGGCAATAGATCTGACCGGAGAACTCCGCACCTGCAGCCCTGAACAGGAAAATGAGAAAGTATGGAGTGTGTGGTGGCACTGGCGGGGGATGGGGGAGGAGGGGTGAAGTAGAAAGAAAGAGAAACAACTGGACACCAAAAACATAGTGGTTAACAGTGCATACTCTTTATTTATCGGTATGCAAAAATGAATCGCAATGCACCATGATGAACCAATGGGCCGAGAGCAATGGCCAGGCTCTGTGCTAAGTAAGCACTTTCTATGTATTATCTCGTTGTATCCTCACAACAATACTCTAAGGAAAGTATTGTATCTATATTTTACAGAAAAGGAAATTGAGGCTTAGCAAGATTAACCTGCTTATTTCAAGCAATTTTGCATTGAAGAGCTGGGCTACAAATCCACAGACAACATTCCTAACTTGTACCTTTTGCTACTACTTACAATTCCAGTAAATAGACCCGTTATAAAAACATAAAACCTGACAACTGGCAGGTCTTAAACTGGATATGAAAACTAATAGAGTGTGAGAGTTGTCAACAGGAGCTAACACAGCCACCTTTATTTTTATTTACTTTTTTATTCTGAGACAGTCTTACTCTGGGCCCAGTCTAGAGTGCAGTGGTGTGATCTCAGCTTACTGGAGCCTTGACCTCCCGAGCTCAAGTGACCTTCGCACATCAGCTTCCAGGGTAGCTGGAATCACAAGCGCATGCCACCATGCTCAGCTAATTTTTAATTTTTTTTTGTAGAGACGAAGTCTCCCTATGTTTCCCAGGCTGGTCTCCAACTCCTGGGCTCAAGTGATCCACCCACCTCACCCTCACAAAGTACTGAAATTACAGGCGTGAGCCACAGCACCCAGCCTTCCCAACTACCTTTACTGAAAGCCTTCTCACAGTCTATGTAGCTCTTCTGAGGCACTGTGTGTCATGGGGGTGATAACTGCCATGAAAGTACTGGA